>NC_000024.10:3038717-3339127 GCF_000001405.40 Homo sapiens
ATGGAAATCAGTATATTGAAGAGTATCTGCATCCCTGCATCCGTATGTTTTTCACAGCACTATTACAATGGCCAAGATTTGGAAGCAACCTAAGAGTTCATCAGCAAATGAATGAATAAAGAAAAGCTGGTACATATACACAGTGGAATATTATTCAGCTATTAAAGAGAATGAGATCCAGTCATTTGCACTAAAGTCAATGGAACTGGAGATCATTCTGTTAAGTGAAATAAGCCAGGCACAGAAAGGCAAAATTTATATGTTCTTATTCATTTGTGGGAGCTAACAATCAAAACAATTCAACTCATGGAGGGAGTAAAATGATGGTTACCAGAGGCTGGGAGGGGTAGTAGAGAGCTTGTGTGGTGGGGAGTTGTGGATGATTAATTGATTAAAAAATTTAGAAAGAATGAATAAGACCTAGAGCTTGCTAACACAAGGTGACTATAGTCAAAAATAATTTAATCATACATTTTGCAACAACCAAGAGTGTAATTGAATTGTTCTTAACAAATGGATAAATGCTTTAAGTAATGAATACTCCATTTATCCTGATTTGATAATTATGCTTTGCATGCCTGCATCAAACCGTCTCATGTACTCCATAAATATATATATCTACTATGCACCCACAAAAATTAAAGGTAAAGTTCTTTTAAAAGAAGCATTTTTATTCCTACTTCATCACAAGGCAGCTTTACACTAAATTATGTTATTTAATAAATAAATAAATACGTATTTATTATGCAATTTATATTAACTTTTATGGTGACAGAGCAGGAGCATTGCCATCATGGACAAACCTCTCATTCTAAAGTTCATCTTAATAAAAAACCATCTAAATCCAAAGGGCATCAGCCTTATAGCTAAGGTCAACATGACCATAAACCACAAATAACATCTCCAACCAGAAACATTCCAAACTCCTCCCCATCCAGAGACATGTTAGCCCCTACGTAAGCCTCCTCCATCCAGGAAGATGCCAGCCTCGAGTTAAACCCCTCTGGGCTGGTAAGATGTCTGCCCCAAGAAAACCTCCCCTCCTCCCAGAGAGATTCCAACCCCACCATAAACTTCTCCACACACATAAACATTCCAAGCTTCTAAGCTCCCCCACCCTAAAACCAATATATACCCTTAGTGTGTAACAGAAAGGGCTGCTGATTGAAATTGGCCAGGGGCACCTCTCAGGTTTTAACTAAAGAAAACCTGTCTTTGGGTCTTGCTCTGTTGCCCAGGCTGGAGTGCAGTGCACGATCACAATTCACTGCAGCCTTAACCTCCTGGGCTAAAGTGACCCTCCTGCCTCAGCCTCCCAAGTAGCTGGGACTACAGTCATGGGGCACCACCATGACTGGCTAATTTTTCTTTTTTAGCAATTTTTTGCAGAGATAGAATCTCATTATTTTGCCCAGGATGGTCTCACACTCCTGGCTTCAAGTGATCCTCCCACCTCTGCCTCCTAAATCCCAGTTTGTGCTGGGATTACAAACATGAGCTTGTAATCAGACAATACTTGTGCTGAGACAATATAGGACCAGAAGGCCTGCACCTGATCTTCTGATCTTATATTCTCTTAGCACAGCTATTGTTTGATTTCTGTGTTACAGGTAACTAACATGTTGATGTTGCCCGTTGCTGTTAGTTCAGCCCCTCTAGGAAGCAGATACTGTGATGGAATTAGGAGTACAAGAAATTTATTGGGGGCTAATGGCTGTGACAGAAGAAGGTAGAGGAAACAGGACTGGGCAACAAAATTCTTCACACCTCCATGCAGATTAGACACTTGTGAAAGGAAAGAAAGAGAAGCAGAACTGGGCAACAGGAGCTTCAGACCATGCTGTGGATCTGCATAAGTCTCTGCCAATGCAACAAGGAGCTCTGGAACAAAGACTACTCATTAGAGGAGTCTCATGCTGGGCAGACAGGGCCACACCCGAGCACTCCCAGCTTGTACGATATTGGCCTGGGGGCTACCCAGGAAGAGATGGGCCTCAGATCAAAAATATGGCATATCTAGAAGATGCTGCAGCTAGAGGCTGTCGGCCAACTATACTCCTTGCAGCTCAACAGTGAATTTCTCTCTTAAAGGGAGATCTTCGCAGCACACCTCTGCAGCTGTCATGTGATCCAAATCTCTTATTCCATGCTAGCTTTCACTATAGAATAGTGGCCAGAGAGTTTGATACCTGCTTTCTGAGCCTCCCTGACAACTGGAATGACTATGTGACACAGTTCTGGCTAGTGGGGATTCTGAGAAGCTAACTGGATAAAAAGACAAAGTCTTATGCGAAGAAAGCACACACTCACACACACACCAGTTATTTGTTTTCTAAATTTGAATGTAGTCTTGATACCTGGAGGGGCAGCCATCTTGCAGGCAAGAGGCGATAAGCAAAAGTGCTGAAGGATATAGTTCCTTGATAACATTAATGAGACTGCTCTCTTCTTGGTAAATAAATAATATGTTATTAACAAAAAAAAAAAAAAAAGAAAGAAAAGAAAACCTGTCTTTGACTGCCAAGCTGTGTTTCGTGTTTCTTTCCTCTTTCTTCAAATTTTACATATGGTTATTCTATTAATTATTTGGTTTTGGAAAAAACATTCTAATCACCTTTTTTTTTCTCCTCATGATGGGTGGTTTTTGGAAGTAAAAATTAAAATATGGTCTAATACTAAATGAAAGATAGAACCAAAGTGAAAACTCAGAAACAAGAAGAAGAAGATGCTAGAGAAAATGAAAATTGTAGCACACTATTTCTATTCAAGAATAAGTGGATACTATTGGAGTGATTTTTTTTTTTTTGAGGTGGAGTGTTACTCCATCACCCAGGCTGGAGTGCAGGGGACGATATGGGCTCATTACAACTTCTGCCTCCTGGGTTCAAGTGATTCTTCTGCCCTAGCTTCCTGAATAACTGGGATTACAGGTGGTGCCACCATGCCCAGCTAATTTTTGTATTTTTAGAAGAGACAAGGTTTCACCATGTTGGCCAGGCTAGTCTTGAACTCCTGACCTCAAGCGATCCTCCCATCTTGGTCACTTAAAGTGCTGTGATGACAGGTGTGAGCCACTGCTCCTGGCCTATAAGGGTGATTTTTAAAGTAACTATTGCTATGAAATTCTGTTGTAAGGCAATGTTGCATCATCTCCAATCAACGTTAATAATACAGAATTTCTAAAATACCTGTAAGTATTATCCAAAGCAAATGAACTGGAACATTATAGTCTTGAAATCACAGGTGTCATTGCTATTTCGAGGTTGGTCTTGATGCTGAGATTTCAGAGACTCAAAGAATTGGCCCATCAGCAGTCATATGGCTGACATCTCTGTTACCTTTCTTCTGTTCAGTGGCATTTCTAACCATGGACTATAAGCTAGATTAGAGTTAGATTTCTTGTTTTTGTTGTTGTTGTTGTTGTTGGGCTGGCTGCACCTGCAAGTTAAGTTTCACTTATCCTTTTAGTTTTGGTTGGTTCCACTATCCATTCAAATTTGCCTTATTTGGTGTTCATACTGAGCACACAGTGGTCTGTTGACTCTCAGCAACTGCTCTTCAGTATGTTTAAAGTGTCCATCCCTTCAAACAAAACTGTCTCCTACCCCTTCCATCATTCTGGAATATGTTTTAGAATTCTCTCATTATTCTGATTATGTTGTTTTTGCCTGCATTGGAGCTGTAAATTTGTCATTATCGTCATTGACTGAATTGTATACAACTATTTATATTGTTTTAAAATTTGGAGTTTTTGGCAGGGAGGAAAGGAATGGTAGACCCATATCATAGTATTTACCAGTAGTAATCAGATAAAATCCTGAGGTGGTACCACAGAGTTGTTCACATTTTTGTATTAATTTAGGATGTGTGCATGTAAATAAAGCATCCTAACCTGCTGCTTTTCCATCCTAGCTGTATGTAAATTAGTCTGGGGAGCGTTAGATTTGTATTTGTATGTATAGTTGGTCTTCTTTAGTCTCAGGTTCTGCATCTGATTCGACTAGCTGTGGATTGAATATATTTAAAAACTCTCACAACTATAGAAAATAATACAAATTTTAAAACCAATACAGTATAACAATTATGATATCATATTTATACTGTATTAGATATTGTACATAGTCTAGAGATGATTTAAATATGCATGTAAAGTGCATAGGTTACATGGGAATACTATAGCATTTTATATCAGGGACTTGAGTATGTACAATTTTTAGTTTTGCAGAAGGCTGATTCTGCAGTCTTCCTAGTGGTGATGTAAAGATTAGAGGAACGTTTGCAAAGGGCACAAAGTATGTTCTCTGAAGGAACTGAATCTCGGTCAGCACTCACACTCAGGATGGACTTTGCCCAGTGCACATGGGCTACGACAAGAATGCACTTGACTTTTTTGGCACTGCATACATTTCAGTGCTCACAGTTAAGAGACTCAGTGCGGGTGGTAATGGCCATCCAGGTACTTGAGGATCCAGAAATTTTTGCCAGAACGGTGGGCCCATGAGAGCAAGAAGAACTGGAATTTGTGTGCTTATGGCAATATTCTCTGCTTGATCTCACATACTGGGAAGTAAAATTTATAGAGACAGAAAGTGGAGTAGAGATTACCATGGTTTGAGAGTAAGGATGGAGGAATTATTTCTTAATGCATAAAAAGCTTTAGTTTGGTATGTGAAACTTTTAAAAATAGTTGGTTACATTACACTGTTAATATATTTAATGCCAATGAATTGTAACATTTCAAAATTAGCCTAGACCACATAGTGAGATCCTGTCTCAAAAAAAAAATTAGTTGGATGTGATGATGCATAGCTGTGTTCCTTGCTACTTGACAGGCTGAGGTGGGAGGATCATTTGTGTCCAGGACTTTGAGGTTGCAGTCAGTGATGACTGAACCACTGCACTCCAGCCTGAGGAACAGAATGAAGACCCTGTCTCTAGAAAAAAAAATGGAAGTTGTATATTTTGTTATGCATATTTTGCCACAATTAAAAATAATTAGAAGTGCTTTTTTTTGTTCTTGTGTACTTTTTTTGGTTGTCAGACCTTTGAATTTGAGATGGCTATGTGTTTACATGCTGATATAAGAAGTGATACAGAGAGACAATCTACACTTTATCCAGTTTTCTTCAATGGTAACTTCTTGCAGAAGTACAGTATCATGTCAAAACCAGCATACAGACATTGATACAAAGTATGAACCAGTTCTATCACCACAGATATCCTTTATGTTGCCTTTTTAAGGTTACATCCACTGTCATTCCAATTGCAACTTCCTAACTCCTAGTAGCCACTATCTAGTTCATCATTTTTATAGTTATTTCATTTTTAGAATTTTGTATGATGGGAATCTACATAGTATGCATATAATTGACTTTATTCACTTAGTATAATTCCCTGAAGATTCATTCATGTTGTGTGATTTACTAACTTGCTCCTTTTTATTGCTAATTAGTATTCCATTGTTTACATGTACCTGTTGTTTAGCTACTCACTTTGATAGATATTTAGGTTGTTTAAATTGTTCTGCTATTATTAATAAAGGTGCTGTGAGCATTCTTGAACAAATATTTTTTGTGTTAAAATATGTTCTCATTTCTATGGCATAAATGCACCAAAATACATATGACTGCTGGGTAGTATGGTAGTTATATGCTTAGTTTGACAAGAAATTGCCAAAGTATATTATACTTTAGTGTGGCTCTACCATTATTCATTCCCCCTGGCAATGATTAATACTTATTTCCTCTGCATTGTCAGCAACATTTGGTCTTGTTACTATTTTTTATTTTAGTTATTGTTGTAATAATGTTATTATGGCTGTAATTTGCATTTCTTTCTTGGTTAATGAGGCTGAATATTGTTACATTTCTTTTTTTTGTGTTTTTTTGTTTTAGCTTTTTCTATTTCATTTTTTTGTAACATCTTTTCACATTTTTTGCCATTTATATATGCCTTTGATTAAATATGTTTTTAATGGCTTTTTCCAATTTTTGAATTGGATTTAGTTTTAAAACTGTTGAGTTTTGGCAGTTCTTTATATACTTTGGTTAATAGTTGTATATTAGGCTTGCGAAGCTATACTCCTAGTCTGTATCTTATCTCTTCATCTTCTTAATAAGGTCTTTTGCAGAGACAAAGTTTTTGATTTTGCTATGTTTCACTTTATTGATTTTTTTTTCCTTTATGGCTCATGCTTTGGTCTCAAATAAAAATATCCCTGTATATCTGTAAATTTGCAAGAATATCTTCTATCTTCTTTTTCTACAGGTTTTATGATTTTGTAGTCCACATTTGAGTCCATGATTTAAGATTTTTTTAATGTGAGGTGTGATATTTAGGTAGAGATTTTCTTTTCCTTTTACTTGTGATATCTATGCTCATTTGCTCCAGTACCTTTCTCCATTGAATTGCTTTTGTCAGAAATCAGTTTGGCCCACTTGTGCGAAACTACTTCTGGTGTATAATTTGTTTTTAAGAGAAGGGGAAGTTTCTCATAACTGCCTGAATCAGGAGTCAGACCCTGTAGTCAGTGAGGAACAAGCTGTGCACTGCAGGGAAAGCCCCTTACTCTCTTTGTCCTCAAATTTCTTTTAGTTAAAATGAGGCAAATATAGTCTCTCAAAAATATCTTCCGTTTATGTCCCTGAACTGTAAGAAGAAGTTCCTTGGCATTTTGTTTGGGCTGGCCAGAGTTGGGGTTGGGGCTTTCTTATGGGACTAATGATGGGTCTGGCCCCCAGATATTTTGACGGGAGTTGTTTCTCACACTCCTGATCTGAGGAGTTAAGAAAACAATTCTTGTGACTCAATATTGTGCTAAATGACAGAGTTCCTGCACCAGTTCCCATTATTTTATGAGTGGCTTCTTCTATCCTGAGGATGTTTTGAGTCCAGCCTAGTAACACTTGGACTGCCCCAAACATTCATTTGACACACCCATGTGTAGGGCAGAAGACATCACATTCCATGTCTTCTTGATGCCACGTAGCTGGGAAACCATTAAGGTCACAGAAATGGGCAGAAATTGTTATAAAGTGAGCACTTTCACCACAGTCCCTCTTGTGATGGTGGTAGCTGAGATGATGGCCAAGTTCCTGGGCAGTAAGCTCCTGGCAGAGTCAAGAAGGACTGTCCTGGGCCAGTGCTCACTCAGGCCCCCTTTTTCCTGCCCTGCTCAGACAGCAGTCTCCCTTCTGCCCACACATCGGTCTCTCTCCGTGCTATTCCCTGCAGCCTCTTTTGACAAAGCAGATCTGCTGATGACAAGCCCTGCCTCACATTCCCGGTGGTGGCTTATCAGGGTGGCTCACACATTTTTCAGGAGGCTTCGTTTTGCCAAACCCATTCTCACCCCACCTGGATGGGGCTAGGGCAGGTCCCAGTCCATCTGGGACTGGCCCATCATGGCTCAAGCATCCTCCACTCCTTCCATCCCCAGGGAGGAGGTTTGACGGGGACTTCTTCTCCTGTTGTACCTTCAACCCACTCTGCTGAAACCAACCCATCTGCATGAGCTGCACTTATTTACCTGGTGGCTCTTCCCCTGTACTAGCAACCTTGGGAACAGGGTCCCTGAAACTGGAGCTTCCAGACTGGTAGCATTTTGCCTATTTATGAGGCAGCATCTTGGATATACATATATGCACATTTTTTCCAGGGAGGAGATGGATAGCTTGTTTCAGATTCCCAAAGAGATTCAAGACCTAAAAAGAACTGCTGCCCATGGCACCTATTCTCTGCATCCTTTCCTGGTGCATAATTAATATGCACAGGTCAGATAGTACTTGTCATTTCTGCCCATGATTTTGTCCATAGTTTCAGTTGGTGACATGTGCAGCAATGCACCTATACATCTTCTCATGCCCCAAAGAAAATGAGTTAACTGACTGTGAAAGTTGTTTATTTTTTGTTGTTTTTTTCAGGGGTGATACTTAATGCAAAATAAGGTAGGTGATAAAATACTTTTGCTCTTATCTTAGAAGATGAGTGGGGTACTTTCTACATCTGGGCTCCAATAGAAAAGGAGGAACTTAATTTTGCAGTATTTGAAAACCTCAAGTTGAGATTACAGAACTCAAAAGATTGTGTTGCTTTTCTGCTTCCCTTCTTCCCTCCCTCCCTCCCTTCCTTCCTTCTCTCTTTCTTTTCTCTTTCTTTCTTGCTTTCTTTTCTTTCCTTTTCTCTATTTCTTACTCTCTCTCTCTTTCTGTCTGTCTCTGTTTCTCTTTGTCTTTCTCTCTTTCTCTTTCTTCCTTCCTTCCTTCCTTCCTTCCTTCCTTCCTTCCTTCCTTTCTTTCCTTCTTTCTTTCTTTCTTTTCCTTCTTTCCTTCTTTCTTTCTTTTTGGTAGGAGAGGGGAATGCGATCTCTCTTTGTCACCCATGCTGGCATGCAGTGGCCAGATCATAGCTCACTCCAGCCTGGACTCAAACAATCCTCTCACTTCAGCCTCTCAAAGTACTTGAGGCGCAAGTGCATGCCAGCTAATTATTTTGTAGAGACAGGAGTCACTCTGTTGCCCAGGCTGGTCTCAAACTTCTTGGGACCAGCAATTCTGCCTCAGCCTCCCAAAGTGCAGGAATTGCAGGTGTGAGCCATTATATATGTCCTTTTTATTCTTTCACATTTTTAATTTTAATTTTAAGTTCCAGGGTGCATGTGCAGGATGTGCAGATTTGTTACATAGGTAAATGTGTACCACAGTGATTTGCTGCACCTATCAACCCATAACCTAGTGGTATTAGGCCCAGAATGCATTAACTATTTTTCCTAATGCTCTTCCTCTCCCCAACTCAACCCCTGACAAGCCCCAGTGTGTGTTGTTCCCCTCCCTGTGTCCACGTGTTCTCATTGTTCAGCTCCTACTTATAAGTGAAAACATGTGGTGTTTGGTTTTCTGTTCCTGTGTTAGTTTGCTGTGGATAACAGCTTCCAGCTCCATCCATGTTTCTGCAAAGGACATGATCTCATTCTTTTTTATGGCTGCATAGTATTCACTGGTGTATATTTCCTACATTTTCTTTATCCAGCCTATCATTAATGGGCATTTAGGTTGATTCCATATCTTTGCTGTTGTGAATAGTGTTGCAATGAGCATATGTGTGCATGTATCTTTTGAATATAATCATTTATATTCCTTTGGGTATATAGCCAGTAATGGGATTCCTGGGTCAAATAGTATTTGTGGTTCTAGATCCTTAAGGAATTTCCACACCACCTTCCACACTGGTTGAACTAATTTACATTCTCACCAACAGTGTAAAAGTGTTCCTATTCCTCCACAACCTCACCAGCATCTGTTGTTTATTGACATTTTAAGAATCACCATTCTGACTGGTGTAAGATGGTATCTCACTGTGGTTTTGATTTGCATTTCTCTAATGATCAGTGATGTTGAGCTTTTCTTCATATGCTTGTTGACCACATAAATGTCTTCTTTTGAGAAGTGTGTCTGTTCAGGTCCTTTGCCCACTTTTTAACGGGGTTTTTTTTTTTCCTTGTAAATTTGTTTGAGTTCCTTGTAGATTCTGGATATTACACCTCTGTCAGATGTATAGATTGCAAAATTTTTCTCCCACTCTGTAGTTGCCTGTTCACTCTGATGATAGTTTCTTTTGCTGTACAGAAGCTCTTTAGTTTAATAAGATCCCATTTGCCAATTTTGGCTTTTGTTGCGATTGCTTTTGGTGATTTCATTCTGAAATCTTTGCCTGTGCGTATATCCTGAATGGTATTGCCTAGATTTTCTTCTGGGCATTTTTAGTTTTGGTGTATTGAAGTCTTTAGTCCATTTTGCTTTAATTTTTCTATAAGGTATAAGGAAGGGGTCCAGTTTCAATTTTCTGCATATGACTAGACAGGTCTTCCAGCACCATTCATTAAATAGGGAATCATTTCCCCATTGCTTGGTTTGTCCAAGATCAAATGGTTGTAGATGGGCAGTCTCATTTCTAAATTCTCTATTTTGTTCTGCTGGTCTGTCTGTTTTTGTACCAGCACCATGCTGTTTTGGTTACTGTAGCCTTGTAGTATAGTTTGAAGTCCTGTAGCATGATGCCTCCAGCTTTGTTCTCTTTACTTAGGATTGTCTTGGCTGTATGAGCTCTCTTTTGGTTTCACATCAATTTTAAAGTAGATTCTTCTAATTCTGAAAAGAATGTCAATGGTAGTTTAATGGGAATAGCATTGACTCTATAAATTATTTTATAGCATTGAATCTATAAATTATTATTCCATGAGCATAGAATATTTTTCTATTTGTTTGTGTCCTCTTTCATTTCCATGAGCAGTGGTTTGTAGTTCTCCTTGAAGAGGTCCTTCAGTTCCCTTACTAGCTGTATTTCTAGGTATTTTATTCTCTTTGTAGCAGTTGTGAATAGGAGTTCATTCATGATTTGGCTCTTGGCTTATCTATTTTTGAAGTATAGGAATGCTAGTGATTTTGGCACATTGATTTTATATCCTAAGAATTTGCTGAAGCTGCTTATCAGCTTAAGGGGCTGTTGGGCTGAGATGAGGGAATTTTCTTGATACAGGATCATGTCATCTGCAAACTGAGACAATTTGACTTCCTCTCTTCTTATTCAAATATGTTTTATTTCTTTTTCTTGCCTGATTGCCCTGGCCAGAACTTCCAGTACTATGTTGAGTAAGAGTAGTGAGTGAGGACATTTCTTGTCCTGTACCAGTTTTCAAGGGAAATGCTTTGAGCTTTTGTCCATTCAGTATGATATTGGCTGTAGGTTTGTCATAAATGGCTCTTATTATTTTGAGGTGTGTTCCATCAATACCTAGTTTATTGAGAGTTTTTAACATAAAAGGATGCTGAATTTTATTGAAGGCCTTTTCTGTGTCTATTGAGATAATCTTGTGGTTTTTGTCTTCAGATCTCTTTATGTGATGAATTATGTTTATTGGTTTGTGTATGTTGAACCAGCCTTGCATCCGAGGGATGAAGCCAACTTCATTGTGGTGCATGATGTACTGCGTTGGATTCAGTTTGCCAGTATTTTATTGAGAATTTTTGCATCAATGTTCATCAGGGATATTGGCCTGATGTTTTCTTTTTTGTTGTGTATTTGCCAGGTTTTGGTATCAGAATGATGCTGACCTCATAGAAGAAGGGAGTGGTTTCTCCTTTTCAGTAGTTTGGAATAGTATCAGAAGAAAGGGTATCAGCTTTTCTCTGTACTTCTGGTCCCCAGAATAATGGTCCCCAACTCCATCCCAGTTACTGTGAATGCCATTATTTCATTCCTGTTTATGGCTGAGTAGTATTCCATGGTATAAATGTATAGCACATTTTCTTTATCCACTCGTTGGTTAACGGCCATTTAGGCTGGTTCCACATTTTTGCAATTGCAAATTGTGCTGCTCTAAACATGTGGGTGAAAGTGTCTTTTTCATATAGTGACTTCTTTTCCTCTGGGTAGATACCCAGTAGTGGGGTTGCTGGATGAAATGGCAGTTCTACTTTCAGTTTTTTAAGGACTCTCCATACTGTTTGCCATAGTGGTTGCACTAGTTTACATTCCCACCAGCAGTGTAAAAATGTTCCCTTTTCACCACATCCATGCCAACATCTGTTATTTCATTATTTTTTTAATTATGGTCATTCTTGCAGGAGTAAGGTGGTATCTCACTGTGGTTTTGATTGGCATTTCCCTGATCATTACTGATGTTGAGCATTTTTTCATTTTTTTGTAGGCCATTTGTATATCTTCTTTTGAGAAATCTCTATTCATATTCTTTGCCCACCTTTTGATGAGATTATTTGTTTTCTGTTTTTTGTTTTTTCTTGCTGATTTATTTGAGTTCCTCAGAGATCCTGGATATTAGTCCTTTGTCAGATACATAGTTTGCAAATATATTCTTCCACTCTGTGGGTTGTCTGTTTACTCTGCTGATTATTTCTTTTGCTATGCAGAAGCTTTTTAGTTTAAGTCCCATCTATCTTTGCTTTTGTTGCATTTGTTTCTGGGTGCTTGGTCATAAACTCTTTTCCTAAGCCAATGTCTAGAAAAGATTTCTGATGTTATCTTCTAGAAATTTTATGGTTTTAGGTATTTGATTTAAGTCTTTGGTCCATCTTGAGTTGATTTTTGTAAAAGGTGAGAGATGAGGATCCAATTTTGTTCTTGTACATGTGGTTTGCCAATTATCCCAGCACCATTTGTTGAATAGGGTGTCCTTTCCCCACTTTATGTTTTTGTTTGCTTAGTCAAAGATCAGTTGGCTGTAATTATTTGGCTTTATTTCTGTGATCTTTATTCTGTTCCAATGATCTATGTGCCTGGTTTTATGCCAGTACCATGTTGTTTTGGTAACTATAGACTTGTAGTATTTTTTGAAGTTGGGTAATGTGATGCCTCCAGTTTTGTTATTATTGCTTTGTCTTGCTGTGGCTATTAAGGCTTTTTTTTTTTGTCCATATGCCATATGAATTTTAGGATTGTTTTTTCTAGTTCTGTGAAGAATGCTGGTGGTATTTTGATGGGAATTGCATTGAATTTGTAGGTTACTTTTTGCAGTATGGTCATTTTAACAATATTGATTCTATCTGTTCATGAGTGTGGGATGTGTTTCCATTTGTCTGTGTTGTCTATGACTTATTTCAGCAGTAATTTGTAGTTTTCCTTATAGAGGTCTTTCACCTCCTTGGTTAGGAATATTCCTACATATTTTATTTTTGTTTATTTGCAGCTATATTAAAAGGGGTTGAGTTCTTCATTTGATTCTCAGCTTGGTGGCTGTTGGTATATAGCAGTGCTACTGATTTGTGTACGTTAATTTTGTATCATGAAAATTTACTGAATTCATTTAGCAGTTATAGGAGCTTTTTGGACGAGTATGATTTTCTAGGTATACAATCATATTATCAGTGAATAGTGACAGTTTGACTTTCTCTTTATCTATTTGTATTCCCTTTCTTTCTCTTGTCTGATCGCTCTGGCTAGGACTTCCAGTACTATGTTGAATAGCAGTGGTGAGAGTGGGCATCCTTTTCTTGTTCTAGTAGAATGGAACATTCAGTAAAATGTTGGCTGTGGGTTTGTTATAGATGGCTTTTATTACCTTAAGTTATGTCTCTTCTATTCTGATTTTGCTGAGGGTTTTAATCATAAAGGAATGCTGGATTTTGTCAAATGCTTTATCTGTGTATGTTGAAATGGTCATTATGATATTTGCTTTTAATTTTGTTTGTGTTGTGTATCACATTTATTGACTTACATATGTGAAACCAAACCTGCACCCCTGGTTTAAAACCACTTGATCATGGTGGATTATCTTTTTGACATATTGTTGAGTTCAGTTAGCTAGTATTTTGTGGAGGGTATTCACATCTATATTCATCAGGAATATTGGTCTGTAGTTTTCTTTCTTTGTTATGTTCTTTCCTGGTTTTGGTATTAGGGTGATACTGGCATCATAGAATAATTTAGGGAGGAATCCCTTATTCTTTATCTTTTGGGATATTTTCAGTATGATTGCTACCAATTCTGCTTTGAATATCTGATAGAATTCAGCTGTGAATTTATCTGGTCCTGGGCTTTATTTTGTTTGCAATTTTTTATTACTGTTTCAATCTCACTACTAGTTTTTGGTCTGTTCAGAGTTTTTATTTCTTCCTGGTTTTATCTAGGAGGGTTGTATATTTCCAGGAATTTATTCATGTTCTCTAGGTTTTGTAGTTTGTGCACATAAAGCTGTTCATAGTAACCTTGAATGATCTTTTGTATTTCTGTGGTATTGGTTGTAATATTTCCCATTTCATTCCTAATTGAGCTTATTTGTATCTTCTCTATTTTTTCTTGGTCAGTGTAGCTAACGGCCTATTGACATTGTCTATCTTTTCAAAGAACTAGCTTTTCGTTTTATCTTTTGCATTTTTAAATTAATTTCAACTTCATTTAGTTCTGCTCTTAGCTTTGTTATTGTCTTCTGCTGGGTTTGAGTTTATTTTGTTCTTGTTTCTCTAGTTCCTTGAAGTGTGATCTTAAATTGTCTATTTGTGTTCTTTCAGACTTTTTGTTGGAAACATTTAATGCTATGAACTTTCCTCTTAGTACTGCTTTTGCTCTATCCCAGAAGTTTTGATAAGTTGTGTTACTATTATTGTTCAATTCAAAGACTCTTTAAATTTCCATCTTGATTTTACTGTTTACCCAGTGATCATTCGGGAGCACGTTACTTCATTTCCATGTATTTGTAGGGGAATGGTTCCTTTTGGAGTTAATTTCCAATTTTATTCCACTGTGATCTGAAAGAGGACTTGATATAATTTTGATTTTCTTCAATTTCTTGAGTCTTGTTTTATGTCCTATCATATGTCCTATCTTGGAGAATGTTCCATTTTCTGATGAAAAGAATGGATATTCTGCAGTTGTTGGGGAGAATGTTCTGTAAATATCTGTCATGTCCATTTATTCAAAGGTATCGTTTAAGTCCATTTATTATTTGTTGACTTTCTCTCTTGATGACCTGTCTAGTGCTGTCAGTGCAGTACTGAAGTCCTCCACTCTTATTGTGTTGCCTTCTATCTCATTCCTTAGGTCTAGTAGTAATGCTTTTATAAATTTGGGAACGCCAGTGTTTGGTGCATATATATTTAGGATTGTGATATTTTCCTGTTGGACTAGTTATTTTATTATTATATAATGTCCCTCTTTGTCTTTTTTAACTGTTGTTGCATTAAAGTTTATTTTGTCTGATATAAAAATAAATACTCCTCACTTTTGGTGTCATTTGCATGGAATATCTTTTTCCACCTCTTTAATTTTATGTGAGTCCTTATGTGTTAGATTATTCTCTTGAAGTAAGCAAATACTTGGTTGGTGTATTTTTATCCATTCTTCCATTCTGTATCTTTTAAGTGGCACATTTAGGCCATTTACATTCAATGTTAGTATTGAGATGGGAGGTACTGTTGTATTCATCATGCCAGTTGTTGCCTGAATACCTTGGTTTTTTTTTTTATTGTGTTATTGTTTTAGAGGCCCTGTGAGATTTATTCCTTAAGGAGGTCCTATTTCGGTGTATTTAGAAGTTTTGTTTCAAGATTTGAACTCATTTTAGCATTTCTTGTAGTGCTGGCTTGGTAGTGGCAAATTCTCTCAGCATTTATTTGTCTTAAAAAGGCTTTATCTCTCCTTCATTTATAAAGCTCAGTTTCATTGAATACAAACTTTTTGGCTGATAAACATTTTGTTTGAAGGTCTAAGATAAGACCCCAATCCTTTCTGGCTTGTAGTGTTCTGCTGAGAAATTTGCTATTAATCTTATCAGTTTTACTTTATAGGTTACCTCATGCTTTTGCCTCATAGCTCTTAAGATTCTTTCTTTTGTCTTGACTAGATAACCTGATGACTATGTGTCTAGATGATTATCTTTTTTGAGATGAATTTCCCAGGTGTTCTTTGTCCTTCTTGTATTTGGATGTCTAGATTTCTAGCAAGACCAGGGAAGTTTTCCTCAGTTATTTCCTGAAATATATTTCTCAAACTTTTAAGATTTCTCTTCTTTCTCAAGAACAGCAATTATTCATATGTTTAGTTATTTAGCATAATCCCATACTTCTTGTGGGCTTTATTTTTAAATTCTTTTTCCTTTTCTTTGTTTGATTAATTTGAAAGCCTTGTCTTTGAGCTCTGAAGTTCCTTCTCCTTTTTTGATTCTGTTGTTAAAACTTTCCAATGTATTTTGCATTTCTCTAAGTATATCTTTCATTTCCAGAAGTTGTGATTGTCTTTTCTTCATGATATCTATTTCTCTGGAGACTTTTTAAAATGCATATCCTATATTTTTTAATGTATTTAACTTCATTTTCACCTTTCTCTGGTACCTGCTTGAGTAGCTTAATAATTAACCTTCTGAATTCTTTATCTGGCATTTCAGAGTTTTCTTCTTGGTTTGGATCCATTGCTGGAGAGCCGGAGTGATCTTTTGGGAGCGTTATAGAAACTTGTTTTTTCATATTACCAGAATTACTTTTTTGATTCCTTCTCATGTGGGTAGAGTGTTTCAGTGGAAGGATCTGGAAATCAAGGGCTGCTGTTCATATTCTTCTGTCACATGAGACACATTTTGTCACATGGCTTGAGCTGGGGACCTGGAGTGCCTACAGGGCTCTTTCCACTGCTTCTTCTACTTTTTATATTTCTCTCAGCTCCCTAAAACAATTTCAGTTCTAGGTAAGGTTGAATCCTTCTGCTGTGATCTAGATTTTCAGGTTGCCCAGTGGGGATGTGTGTTCAGAGGCACACTTTTTCCCCTTCACACTTTAGGAACTCACAGTTTTTTGTGATGTGATGTGATGTTGTGCTATCCCTGTTCCCCTAAGGATGGGGCTTCCTGAGATCCCGACTGCAGTGATTGGTAATGCCCTTCCATGTCTAGCTACTTTGCAGGGCTAGCAGGCTCCAGGATGTTGCTGGGGAATGTTTGCAGAGTCCTGTGATGTGATTCATCTTTAGGTTTCCCAGCCTTGGATACCAGCCCCTGCTCCAATGGAGGTGGCAGGGGAATGAGGTTGACTCTGTGGGAGTCCTTGGTTGTAGTTTTGTTTAATGCACTGGTTTTCTCAGATGTTGGTTATGCTAACAGTGAATTTTTCATGTGACAGACTCAGGTCCTCTGGTTAGCTAGGGTGTTATAGGTGGTGGAATTGGCTGTTGTTTTCTTTTTTGATGGAGCACGATATAGTCTTGTTATGAGTTGCTATAATGGCTTGAGTTGGTTGGCCTCCAGCCAGGAGGTGGTGCTTTCAAGAGAGCTCAAGCTCCAGTAGCAGAAGGGAGATATAAGCTTGCCCTATGTTGCCTATGATAAGTATTCTAGTTTCTCAGAAAATGGGTGGTGCTACAGAGCTCCCCACAGTTCATGTCTTTTATCTTCAGCTACCAGGGTAGGGAGAGAAAAACCATCTGGTGGGGGCTGGGTTAGGTGTGTCTGAGCTCAGGCTCTTCTTGGGCAGGCCTTGCTATGGCCACTATGGAGGATGAGGGTATGGTTCTCAGGCCAATGGAGATATGTTCCCATTTGGATTATGGCTGCCACTGTGGCATCATACAGGTTGCCAGGGAAGTGGGCGAATGCCAGCAGTGACAGGCCTCAACCAGGTCCCATGCAGCCAGCAAGGCCATTCTCACTCCCACTGTGCCCCACCAGCAGCACCAAGTTTATATTCAGGTTATACCCAGGCCGCTGGTGAAAAGGGCTAACATCTTGCCACAGGCTACAAGCCTCCCAGCTAATACAGCAAGCAGGGCTCTCAGGCCTCACCCCTCCTTGCCTGCCTGCACCATGGGTGCAGCTTTTGCGCTTGTGTCTGCACTTCTCATTTTCCCCACACCCCCATGCCCCAGGATTCTGCCCAAAAAAATTCATGCTCTGTCAAAATTATTACAAAGTTCAGCTAGAAGTTTCTTTAATTCTGAGGCCTCTCCCCAATTCCACTGGCTGCCCTCCCCAAGGGCCCGTGTGAGATAAAACCAGGAATGGTTCCCTGGGCTTGAGCTGGGGACCTGGAGTGCCCACAGGGCTCTTCCCACTGCTTCTTCTACTTTTATATTTCTCTCAGCTCCCTAAAACAATTTCAGTTCTAGGTAAGGTTGAATCTTTCTGCTGTGATTTAGATTTTCAGGTTCCCCAGTGGGGATGTGTGTTCGGAGGCACACTTTTTCCCCCTCACGCTTTGGGAACTCACAGTTTTTTGGCTGTCACATGGAGTTTGCAGTGGCAAACCACTTCTTTCAAAGGGTCTGTGAATTCTTTCCTGATGGTTAATATTTTTTATTAACACAGGCTGGTTAGGCTTAGTAACATCCTTAATATAGGTCAATCAAAGGAGTGGTCAAGTTTTTGTTATGAAAATAGTAACATAGCTCTGTGGAATGCAGACTGGAGGGAAAGAAAGAAATTATTAGCAGAAAAACTATTTATAAAGTTGCTTTAATAGTTTATAAGAAAAAGACATTAAGGCCTAAACAAGGAAAATGACAGTGTCACTTGAAAGGAGAGGTATCATTAGACATATTTCAGATTTTACCCAGACCACTTGATAATCAATTAGATAAGAAATTAAGGAGCATGAAAACTAACTTGGAATATTATTTTTAAAATAAACAGAAATAAAGTGTGTAAAGAAGCTTACCTGGCATATAGTAGTACTTCAGTTAGTCCCAGTAATTATAATAATAACTATATTAATAAAATAAATAAAACTATTATATTTATTGGTGGTAGAATGACATGAAGTAAAGAGAAGAAGACATAAAATCTATCCTTAAACATTTTGGAGGCTGTTACCTTTGCCATATAAATACTTGAGTCTTTGCTTAGAAACACTGCAGATTCAAGGATAGAAAAAAAACTAGTAAAAATCAGGGCATGAACAATAGTTACATCTCCTTTAATCATTTTGGACTTTCTTCCTTCTTTCTTCTTGACATTGCATCCATTATCTCTTGTTGCCCCTTTCCCTATTTTCTGCTTCTGTTCACATTTTCTTTACAACGGTTTCTAATAAAAATTGCTTATTGCTACTTAGTCACCATTATTTTTCTTTGCACAATAAAAATATTCTGAGGGCAAATTTTGAAACTTGACATTTGTCAATAATCCTCCTGCTAGGAAAAGACCAAAATTGTTTTATCATCTTTTTTTCTAAAAAAAAAATCCCTTCTGTATTTAAATTATCTTATGTAGCAGGATTCAGGTCATTTTTCTACAAATGAAAACTGCAAAACAACTGATATTGCCTATCTATAATCCACAGCACAAAGTCCAGATTTTGTTCTTTTCTATATAGGCTCTCTGAAATAATGTCAAAATCTGACTTTTTTTTTTTTTTTGCCTTTTCTCTAAATGTTACCTCCCTTTTACCTCATCCAATGGCTACAAATATTGTTTTCCTTTTTTCTGAAAAAATCATTCTCATGAGTGCCATGCTCTTTGCACATGCTCTTTCTTTGCCTGGGAAGCCCTTCACCAACTTTTAATACAGTGCAATCTAATTCTTATCCTTCAGCTCAACTAAATTCCATTTCCTTTGAGATGCCTCCTTTCATTTCTTCAAAGAGGGAACATATATGTTGCCACAGAACTTTTGCAAATCTGTATTATAGAACTTAACACATTGTAGTTATTTGTAGACGTATTTGTCTCTTTCAGATTGAGCTACCAGAGAGAACGGGTGACATTCTAGTCATTTATATATTTCTTGAATGAAGCACTCATCAGTATGATTAAGAGATAGTAGTTTCTTAGTTAATATGTGACAGCAGAAGAAGTGAATGAATAAGTAATTTAATGAAGTCTTATGACTGACACTGTGGTAGACACTGGGTTCCCTGTGCTTTTTTTGTAGTGCATATTCCTCTTTTCTTGTCAGACAGCATTCTTATTAAACTGAGAAGATAATCTAAAATGGCCTATAAATGCTTTCCAGAAGATCAAATAAATATTCCTATGTAAGGCCTAGGTGAAATTTATGAGGCTACAAGAATGGTGAAATGAGATCAGTCAGTCAAGTGTGGAGGAAAGTAATTACGGCTGGAAAAGATTTAAACTATTAGAATAGAGAAGACTGGATTAGAGAATATTAATATTCTAGAAAATAACAAGCTTATGACAGGAATACTATATCAGAGTCAAGAGAAAACAAAAGTATAGGTAAAGACTGAATTTATCATAGCCCAAGACAAGGAGCAGGAACTGACATTTAGTCAACAGTATTTATTGAGTCCCTACTATGTGTGCCAAAATAAAAAATTAACTAAGTACTGGGTAACAGATAAAGAAATGATTATGAAAGCTGGCAAATAGGAAGTGAGAGATGAAACTAAAGATTTAGTTTTACTTGCACACTGACCTTGCAATTTCCCCAATGTAATTTTGTCTGATCTGAGTTGTGGCAAGATATCCTGTTTTTTGTACTTACAGGTATTCCTGCTGAGAGTCATTTCCTGTGCTGGATTTACCATCACAGGGACCAGATTTATAGAAAAATGAACATGTATTGTTGCTAAATGGAGTTGGTCATGGAGTGGAAACTAACAATATGTTCACCTGTAAGTTTTTAAGTGCTGTGCCAAGAAAGCCTCTTTGGAGGCCATTGCCATAATCTACTGTTTACATTTGTGCATTTAGTTTCCGGGAAATATTTTTTAAACCTATCCTAGGAGCTATTCAGAACCATAGAGGCTATTTCAGTTCCCCTATCGACTGTGAAATGGAGATCTACATTCAAAATTTAGCCTGAGTTCTTTAGAATCCTAGTGCATGCAATTGTGAGCTCTAAAACAATGTGGTTATATCTGCTTTGGGAAATCTAGTATTCAAGTAGCTAAATTTAGAGTTTTTGCCATTATAGAAGAAGTGTTAACTGTGCAAAATCATTTGCTAATGAGTATCAAGCTTTCTGGGAACGTTTATATGATCTGTAACAGTAAACAAACTACACACAATTTTCAGGGTGTTACGTATATTTGCCCAAAGTGGATTATCTGTAATATCTACACTAACTTAACTATCATTTATTTTCTGATATCAGAAGATTTCAGATTTAACTTTTAATTAGGCATTTTTTCTATGAGGAAGGTTGAGCTGAAGGATAAATGAAACATAATTGCTTTATTATGTGTTACCTATCAGGCAAGTTACCTTTGAGTTACTAGCACTCGCATGAGAGCAATGAAGCTGAAAACATTTTAGGGAAAATTCAAATAGGTTGGCATAGCTGGTATGTTTGGGGCTGATAAAGAGGTTGATGAAGAAGAGCTAGGAAGCACATAATGTAAGTCAAACCTGAGTTGAAGAAACAGAGATTTGTGCTCTGAGAACTTATTGGAGGACCAGCAACCTTGCTCACAGGGTTACGCCTTCAGTGCTATTGAAAGCACATACTTGGGACTTAACATCTGATAGTTAAGAAAGATAATCTGATAATAAGAAGTTTTAGTATTAAAAAATAGGCATTTTAAGCTCCTATGTTTAATGGTTCCTGGATAGAAAACCATTGCTGTTTTTTTCCCCCTCTGGATATGTAGAAATTAACGGGAAAGTTGTTTGAACAACAGTATGCTACACCTTGAATCTATTTTAGGAACATTCTTTCATGGCATATATTCACTTGATCATAAAAGGTGGTTCTCATTCAGGCAGATAAACAAAAAGCACAAAAAAGAAAATTAGATGACTGCCAATGTACATCAGACATAAATTACTGTCATTAAGAATTACTGTAAAAAGAGATCACACATTGTGTAGTTAAATATTTAATTCTTCTTGTATCCTGAGATACCAGTTAATATTCTTTCCTTTTAGCATAGAACTTAATTTGGTAGTTTCTTCTGGGTCCTAGGAATAAAGAATGCACTGATATTCATTGATGCTCACTACTAGATTTTAAAGCAGACTATTACTTAAAAGCATTTGGCTAATTGTCAAATGCAAGTAAAATTACTTTGGTTCTTTTTGTAATGGAAATTGAAACGCCATATTAGAGTATTTGATCAAAGAAAAGGAAAAATGTGGTAAGAAAACACTTCTATAGCAATGAGGTAGGGTTTTCAATAAGATTATTAATATTGTGACTCAGGGACATTACTAAAAAATTAAAAATAAGATTATGAATAAAATAAGCATACTAGAATACAATCTAAAATAATCTTTAAATGTCATGATTCATGTTATACAAAGCCCTGCAGTCCAGGATAGTTAAATCTTTTGCTCTTGTCTGTGAACATTACTTATCACCGGATTTGGAACAACAGGTTTTGTTTTTGGTTTTATGCTTTGTTTTCCACTTCTACCATGGAAAATGTTTAATTCTTTAGATGCTTTCTCACATTTTTCTAATACTAAATTTTTAGAAAATAGTGAATTATGACTTTTACTCCAAAGTGTAGAAGGAATACTTGCCTTAGGAAAAAACAGTTTTGCTTTATCAGGAATGCCTTCTGAGGAGTTTTACATGTCCCTTAATAAATTGCACCTATATCCCACTGCCTAATTTCTGAACAAATTGAAAAATAAAGACATTGCTATTCAAGAACCAAGATATCACCTTATAGATGATAAAAATCAAAAGTGATGGGTGCAGCTTAGCGTAAAATCCACAAGTGCTACCTACTGAATGCCAGAAGTAGAAGGTCTTGGCCAGTAGAAGGCAGTATTGAACCAGTACCCACCAGATATGTGTTGATGAAGGGAACACTCTGGAAGAGTAATGTAATTCCAAGCAGGGAAAAAAAATGAAGCTAAGTTATTCTTCTCAGTTTCACCAATTAGTTAAATCATCCTCCATTACCTGGGGACAGAATGAGTAAAGAAGCAAGCCAATGCCAGAAATGTGTTTGGAAAAACATGTGGGGAGAGATTAAGTCTGTACCTTACCAATTGTGAGAAATCATTGATATTATAAATTTCAATTTAAAAATATTAATAAACTCTATTTTTGAGAAGTTTTTAGGTTTACAGGAAAATTGAGAGAAAAGTACAGAGTTGTAATACACTCCATGTCACCGTCCACTCTGACCCCCAGCAATTAGCAATTTATCTTGTTATTAACATATTTAGTTTTTGTGATACATTGATTATAATGGATGCGCTAATATTGATACATTATAATTAAACTCCATAGTGACATCAGAGTTCACTCTTGCATATAGTATGTGTTTTGACAAATGTTTAATAACATGTATCTACTCTTATAGTATCATACACAATAGTTTTACTGCCCTAAAGCTTCCCTGTGTACCATCTATTCATCCTTTTCTAACTCCATTGAAAGCCCTTGATAACTGCAGATCCTTTAATATCTCCATAGTTTGGCCGTTCCCACCCAGAATGTCATATGGTTAAAATCAAGTACTACACAGCATTTTCAGTTTCTTTCACTTAACAATATGTACTTGAGATTCCTTTTTGTATTTTCATTTTTTTTCTTTTTTTGAGACAGAGTTTCGCTCTTGTTGCCCGGGCTGGAGTGCAATGGCGCGGTCTCGGCTCACCGCAACCTCTGCCTCCCAGGTTCAAGCAATTCTCCTGCCTCAGCCTCCCGAGTAGCTGGGACTACAGGCATGCAGCACCACTCCCGGCTAATTTTGTATTTTTAGTAGAGATGGGGTTTCTCCATGTTGAGGCTGGTCTCAAACTCCTGACCTCAGGTCATCCGCCCGCCTCGGCCTCCCAAAGTGCTGGGATTACAGGCGTGAGCCACCGCGCCCAGCCCTTTTTTGTATTTTCATGGCTTGATAGCCCATTTCTTTTTATCATTAAATAATATTTTACTATATGGATATACAACACTGTGTTTATCCATTCACTTAGTGAAGGACATATTGGTTACTTCCAGGTTTGGGAAATTATGAAAAAGATTATTATAAACATTTTTGCACACGTGTTTGTGGGGATGTCAGTTTTTAACATATTTGGGTAAATAGTTTTGAAAGAAACTATGACATTGTCTTCCAAAGTGCCTGTATTACTTTGCATTAGTACCAGCAATGCAAAGGACTTCCTATTACTCCACCTCTTTGCCAGCATTTGGTGTGATTGGAGGTTTTTTTTTTTTTTTTTTTTTTTTTTGCCATTCTAATAGATATGTATTAGTATCTTGTTGTTTTAATTTTCAGTTCACTAATAGCATATGTTGCTGAACACCTTTTCATAGGCTTATTTGCCATTTATGTGTCTTCTTTGGTCAGGTGCCTGCCACATGTTTTGCTAATGTGTTAATTAGGTCGTTTGTGTTCTTATCTTTAAGTTCAAATAGTTTATTATGTGTATTTGAATATCAGTCCTTTATCAGGTATGTCCTTTGAAAAGATTTTCTCCCACTCTGTGGCTTATCTTTTCATTCTCTTGTATTTTTCAGAGCAGAAGTTTTTAATTTAAATAAAGCTCAACTATATATATTTTTTATTTTATGGATTTTGCTTTTGGTGTTGTAGCTAAGAAGTCATTGCCAAATCCAAGATCACCTAGATTTTCTCCTATGTTGTCTTTTAAAGTGTAATAGTTTTGTTCTATATTTAGGTTTATGGTCCACTAAAGTTAATTTTTATGAAAGATATAAGACCTGTGTCTAGATTTGTTTTTGTTTTTGTTTGCATGTGAATGTTTGTTCCAACACTACTTTTTAAAAGTCTATACTTTCTCTACTGAAGCACATTCACATATTTTTGTCACGGATCAGTTGACTATATTTGTATGAATCTATTTCAGAGCTCTCTATTCTACCTGTATGTCTATCATTTTACCAATACTACACTGTCTTGATTATTCTGACTTAGCTATTAGTCCTGAAGTCAGCTAATGTAAGTTCTCCTATTTTTTCTTCTCCTTCAGTGTACCGTTGTCTCCTCTGGGTCTTTTGCTTTTCCACATACAATTTAGAATCAGTTTGTCAATATCCACAAAATAACGGTCTGGGGATTTTATAAATGTCAGGCTTAAGTTTTCCTGTTTTTTTTTTATTATTATTATTTTGTGCTCTTCAACCGCCACATTCCCATTAGCAGAAATGTGACTAAGAGATCAAGAGGAAAATATACAGAAAATTATCATTTTAAGAACATTTGAATGGTGATGTCTAAATTTCTACTTTGCTACACAGGTCTTGATAAATTACATTAGAGTTGATCAAATATAATACTTCTTAGGAAAGAGGATGTACTTTGGTATTTATATGTGTGTTTAAAAATGTCACAATGAAAATATAAATGCAGTATATATCTTTCTTGGACAAAAATCAATATGCCACTTTGAGAGTCTTGACTGGCAGAAAATATCATATCAAAAATCACATCAAGATAGAATTTATTTTCTATTAGAAATGCTCTTATTCAGTCAGCGCTATCTGATTCTGCTTTATTTTTCCATTACGGTAGATTAATCCTGAACTTCTTCCTTAACTCTAATGAAATCTCATGTTACATTTTATGTAAATATTCAGGCATATATATATTATATATATATAAAATTATCATATTTCATTGTAATACCTGTTTTTGCCATTTTGGCTGTGTTTATCTAAATATAATTATATTTTATTTTTACTAATCTTTTGAGTGTGTGTGTATGTGTGTGTGTGTCCTTCAGTTAAGTTCTTGGCAATCCCTGGATGTATTATTTTGTTTCTGTTTCCTATTTTTCAATAACTATATGTTAATTATAACATTAACAATTACACTTAAAATGGATGACCAACTACATTTCAATCAAACACAACTTGTTGCTTCTGTGCATGGATAGAATTTTGAACTTTAACATTGTTTCTGACAAAAAAAAACATTAACTCTTTGCAGATAATGTAAATCCAGTTGATAAAATAACATGCAGATTTGATTCCTGCTTACACAGAGAAAAGATTTGTTAAGATTGGCAAAAAGAAAACTTGACCATTGTTATCTGGCATTTTAAAACTAATAACCAATCTTGTCTTACTTTTATTCAGTCTAACCTTTATTTCATATTAATTAAAATAAAGCAAAACAAAACATAATTATAAATGCAGAGATATTGCTGAATGAAATTGTCTCTGAAAATAGATCACTGAAATTTGGAGAAGAAACAAAGATCATAGATAGTAAGAAGAAAGAAACAATTGTTAATTTATAGGTGGATGATACCATTAATATTATCTTAAATATAAAAATTATTTGCACGTCTGCATCTGATTCTAGGAAAGTATATATTTTCAATCAATGTTGGTATATATACATATATATAGTATTTTGAAACAACATAATTATTTCCCAAAGTATTTTTGTTGTTCTTTTTCCCTTAAGCCCATGTATGATTCTTGTTTAGAAGGTGAAAGCTCAACATTTTGTAGAATTTAATATTAATGTATTATATCTCTACAAGGATTTATAATTTTCAAAACAATGAATTAGTAAACAATAAAGCAACAACTTCTAACTCATATTTTTCTACATTTGAATGGATGGATAATTGTGAGCACTGTCTTCTCAACCACTTGGAAAAGAGCTCTGCATTGGAGTCTCATCTTCTCACCATGTACTTTAAGAATAGAGAACATGTGGTACATGGCATTTAAGAGATGGTGAAACAATTGGAAATAGTCAAAAATCCATTCATTGTGTAGAGACGAATCAAGTGTCTCATGACATTTCATTTAAGGCTGTCTCTGATTTTGACTCTACTAATTTTGTGCATCAGGTTGACTTCATTCATTTTCTGTAATTTAAGGGTAACATTTCTAATAAGACTTCCGCTGAGTTGATATAATTAAGTAAGAAACAAAATATTAAGTTACTGTTAAAGGTGTGTGTTTTCTTTTGTTTTGTTCTGTTTTGTTTTGAGACCACAGTCTTGCTCTGTCACCCAGGCTGGAGTTCTGTGGCGTGATCTCGGCTCACTGCGACCATGGCCAGCTAATTTTTGTATTTTTAGTAGAGATGGGGTTTCTCCATGTTGGCCTGGCTGGTCTTGAACTCCTGGCTTCAAGGGTCCACCTGACTCAGCCTCCCAAAATGCTGGAATTGCAGATGTGAACCACCGTGCCTGATCAAAGGTGTGGTTTTTCTTAAATGTGTTTTTAATGGATCAGAGGAGAAGCCAGGTAAGGACACTATTCTGTACTTGCTCTGACTTTCTTTAATCTCAGCAAACTATTTCCATACTCTAGTTGAATCAGTATAGATCAAGTGAATGGCCAAAAATATCATCAATTCATGTTAATGATACAATTGTGTCCTATGAGGTTTGTTGTTTTTAGTTTTATTTTTGCTTCTTTTTCTGGGCTTCAAGTTTATGCTTTCTATGCACTTTAGTAAAAATCATTGTGTGACCAAGAGAAGCACAAATATTGCTGTCCAAACTGGTCACGCTTCTCCTTCATTTGCCAATATTCACAGACGTATAACTTGGTACCCAAAAACTCTCTCAAGGCTTAGGTATCTAAAGTTTCTAGTCTATCAGTGTTCTTAAGAATTAAAAAGTTATCATTTATTAGAATATTAGAAATTTTATTAGAGATAAATTTATGCCATTCCATAATGCATCTTGCCTAAGTTATTTGAGTAGCCAATAACAATAGAAGGAATATAAACAAGTAACCCAGAATGTCCCTTGAATTTAGCATTACACGTACAAAATGTTTAGTATACAATTTTGCCAACATATTTCAGCTCATAGACATATTATAACATGTTATATATATGTATAATGTAAATTAAGAAAACCTATATTTATTTTGTTATGGCTAATTCTCAGAAAATAAAAGTAAATAAGTCTCTTGGGAGCCAAACTGAAAGTTGAGGGTTTCAAAAATGGTGTTATTTTGCCGAGAAATGAAATATAATTAAACAATTTTTTTTTTTTTTTGAGACACAGTCTCACTCTGTCGCCCAGGCTGGAGTGCAGTGGTGTGATCTCGGCTCACTGCAAGCTCCGCCTCCTGGGTTCACGCCATTCTCCTGCCTCAGCCTCCCAAGTAACTGGGACTACAGTTGCCTGCCACCATGCCTGGCTAATTTTTTTTATATTTTTAGTAGAGACTGGGTTTCACCGTGTTAGCCAGGATGGTCTCGATCTACTGACCTCGTGATCCGCCCGCCTCAGCCTCCCAAAGTGCTGGGATTACAGGCGTGAGCCACCGCGCCCGGCCTAAACAATCATTTTTAAAGAAATGTAAGGCCTATATTTGATTAGGAGAACCAAGTCTCCTCCTACATCATGAGCCTAACTCTGAATGACCAGACACAGAAGTCTACTGCTGAAAGTTGTATGATCATAGAGAGAGACTCCTACAGAATTAACAGAACTATTCATGATCCTTTGAAAGTTGAGGGTGAAGCAAGCATATTGACAAAACTCTCCAGCACTCTAGGATTCACACTAAGCAAGAGGTAGCAGCAGACTCACTGCTGGAGGAATTTGAAGTTTGTGGTACAATGAAAGTAACCATAGCAACAACAAAATCCAAACTGAGCTCAATTCCAGATGTGGCTGAACCAACTTCCTTCTCTTTCCCTAACCACCTCACAGTCTGTATGAAATAAACACTAAAGCCTTGACAGATGAATACACATAATTTTCCAGTTGGTTGTTTTAAAGGTGTACTTGTCACTGCAGGAAGATATAACACTCATTTAACAGTATAACATTTAATGTTCAGATTTATGTCAAGCAGGCTCCCAATTTTACTTTTGCTCTGTGTGTATTCTTGCACATATTATGCCCAACTCTAGATCTCAGAAAACTATGTGGCACCAATAGCTAGCATGAAATTGAAATGCTATAGATGGACATCTATGTTGTCTCTATCTCTGTTACCACAGATTACTTCTCTGTTTGTTTTTTTTTTCTAACTGAGCAAGATAATTCATAGCTCTTTGTGCTCCTGGCAGAAGTTTATTTCTTTTTAAATATTTCCCCCAGGCATAGAGTTACTCAATCATAAGAATCCTCAATTGTACTAAATACTTTGATAATGACTTCCAAAATGGCCACAGCAGTTTTAATTCCCAATGACTATATATTAAGGGTTGCTGTTCCCCCAACCTTCACCATTTGAAACTACTTGACTTTCCATTTTCCTCCTAGTAATACTAACGCAGCACATGTGTTGCTTTACATTTCACCATTTCAATTACTGGTGATGTTTACCATCTTTTCACATAATTGTTGGTCATTTCTGTGACCCCCTCCATTCACTCAGTATTATCTAAGCGACTATTTTCTGCCAAGCTTTGCACTAGGCAACTAGTGATCAAACAGTGAACAATTTATTCATATTGGTTGCCTGTTTTTTGTGTTACTGTGTTTTCTTTTGCACCTTCTGTCTTTTTATGGTGGATTTGGGAGAATTATTTGCATGTATTAGATATTAATCTTTTATTGGTCATCAACACTGCAAAGTTTATCTCAGTCTCTATTACCTGTTTATTTGATTTTCTTCTTTGAATAGAAATGGAATCCTCATTTTTAAATAGCACGCAAGATAATTCCAATGTAGATGGTTCTTTACAATAGCTGGAGAACTCTTGGTTCTGGATTTGTTCTCATTTATCCATGTTTTAGAAAGCATATATGTGAAAGTAATATATTTAGAAGGCAGTGACAAAAGTCTGCTTTCTACTTGAAGAGAGCAGCATCTTTCTGGAACAGCTAATGCAGAGGATTCTGAACCAGGAAATACTGTTCTATTCAATTAAATTTCCTTATATTAATATGTTGAAACAAGAGCATGTCATAACCAGTGTAATGAATGTTGTGTCTTTTTTAAAACCTCTAATGTAATTATATTGCCTTTAGTGTCTGAAAATGTGTTACTATTCTAAATCAAATGATTCCACCATCATTTTCATTTTCATTAGTTTTAATTCTTTTTATAATCAGTGGATCTTCTGAAAGCCGTCATAACCTAATATCAGAAACCAGATAGAGTATGGCTCTCTCAAAGTGTTATCAGGGCACCTAATATCTTCAAATTATTTTGGGTTTTATTTAAGCACTATTACTCTTTTTGGCTAAAGTTTTATGTGACTATGAAAGCATAAATACCTTTTTTGATACTTATTTCAGTTTTGAAGACCAACTTATGTTTTCCTATGAGAAATATTTTGCATCTATTATATTATGCTTTCTAGGCCTAATTTATTTGAAGAAAATATAATAATTAGGTGGAAAAGAAATATTGTCAAGTGTTCTTCAACTTAATTTTTGTTAAAATCACAATTTGACATTAAAGTCTAAAATCTGTCTTGCTTCTCATGAAGGTAAGTCCCCATAATTTCTTTTCTGTGATATATACCTAAGCAATACCTTAAAACGATACTTTAACTGGGTTCAAAAATCAATTTGAACTCAAAAAAGGCAGTTGAATTTTGTCAAATAACTTCTCTTTGTAGCTATTTAATGCTAAGTGATAAGTTTAACAGATGTGTTTACTCCTTTCTATTTATTTTGGTAAGGTTTACACACAAACAATATTTACTTTTACAGTTGTTTGTTTATGCCCTAGCTAAAGCTTCTTCAATGTACAATAAGGGGACACCTTTCACTACCAGATATCCCACATTAATCTCTATTACTACCAGTTTGCCTTTAGCCTGAATGTTTCTTAGGACAAACATTAACAGCAGCAGCATTTAGAGATCCCCCTAACAACAGGTATCCCTCTAGACAAAAATACTTGGCTTATAAGCATATGGAACAAGTTTTGGTATAACCGAGGTCATTGTACTGTAAATCTATTGAGATACATGAAGAGGGATAACTAAACATAGGAATACTTAATTTTTTTTGTAGTGTATCAGTTAGGTTTTTCTTCTGTGTAACAATGTACTCCAATGCTATATGGCTTAAAATAACAACAATTTTAATTAATTATTGTGCTAGTTGAAAAAGCAAACTATTCTGAGTTGGTTGGTTCCATGTGGGTTCATCCTTGGCATCATGGCCAGCTGTTGGGTTGACTGGGGGCTGGTTGGTTTAGGAAACTGAGCTGGAACAGTATATCTTTGCTCTATGTTGTCTCTCATCCTCCAGCAGCCTTATGCACAGGCTTGTTCACAAGGCAACTGGACAAGTTTTCAGGGAACAAATAGAAGCCTAGGAAACTTAAAGCTCAGGCTCAGAAGTGGTACATAGTTACTTATCCTGCATTTGATTGGTCAAAGCAAGTCACAATGCAGGTTCAGAGTCAAAAGAAGGGAAAATAGATTATACCTCTTGTTGGGAGAAACTGTACAATAAAAAAGAAAAAGAGCAACATAACTAAGAATATAGCTTACCAAGGGGGTGAAACATATCTACAATAAGAATTGCAAAACACTGCTGAAGGAAATCTGATATGACACAAACAAATGGAAAAATAATATTACATGCTCATGAATAGGAAGCATCAATATTGCTTAAATGGCCATACCACCGAAAGCAATTTACAGATCCAAAGTTATTCCTGTCCAAGTACCAACATCATTCTTCACAGTATTGGAAAAATCTATGATAAACTTCATATGGAACCCCCACCCCCCCAAAAAAGTGCAAATAGCCAAAGCAGTCCTAAGGAAAAAGAACAGACAGAAGAATCACACTACCAAACTGCAAACTATGCTACAAGGCTACAATAACCGAAACATCATGATACTGATACAACATATAGACACATAGACCATTGGAACAGGTTATGGAACCCAGAAATGAAGCTATTCATCTACCAACCACCTGATCTTCAGCAAATTTGGCAACAATACATGATGGGCAAAAGGCTCCATAGTCAATAAATTGTGCTGGGATAACTGGCTAGTCATATGCAGAAGACTGACTCTAAACCCTTTCCATTCACCATATGCAAAGATTAATTCAAGATGGATTAAAAAACTTAAATGTAAGGCCTAAAACAAAACCCAGGAGAAAATCTAGGAAATACCATTCTGAATATCAATTTTGGCAAAGAATTTCTGATTAAGTCCTCAAAAGCAATTACAACCAAAACAAAATTTGACAAGTAGGACCTAATTAAAGAGGTTTTGCCCAACAAAGGAGACTGTCAACAGATTAAACAGACAACCTAAATAATGGGAGAAAATATTCATAAGCTATGCATCTAAGAAAGGTCTAATATCCAGAATCTATAAGAAACTTAAATAATTCAGGAACAAAAAAGAAATATCTTTATTAAAAATGGGCAAAAGACAAAGAGACGCTTCTCCAAAGAAGACATATATGTGGTCAACAAATTTATGAAATAATGTTCATCATCACTAATCAGTAGAGAAATGCACACTAAAACCACAATGAGATCGTCACACCAGACAGAATGTCTATTATTATTTTTCTTTTCTTCTTTTTAAGCGTACATAAAAGCATTTTACATTATGAAACCCCGTATCTACTAATATACAAAAAATTAGCCGGGCGTGGTGGTGCACACCTGTAGTCCCAGCTGCTCAGGAGGCTGAGGCAGGGGCATTTTGTTTTATGTTTCTGCGTTACTTCACTTAGGATTATGGTCTATGGGTAGATCCTGTTGCTGCAAAGGACATGACTAACTTTTTGATGGCTGCGTAGTATTCCATGGTGCATATGTACCACATTTTTTTAATCAGTCCATCATTACAGGTATCTAGGTTGATTCCATGTCTTTGCTATTGTGAATAGTGCTGTGATTAACATATATGCATGCATGTGTCTCTTTGGTAGAATGATTTATTTTCCTTTGCATATATACGAAGTAATGGGATTGCTGGGTCAAATGTTAGTTCTGTTTTAAGTTGTTTGAGAAATCGCCTAAGTGCTTTTCACGGTGGCTGAACTAGTTTACATTTCTACCGTCAGTTTATAAGTGTTTATTTTCTCTACAACCTCACCAGAATTCATTGTTTTTTTGTTTGCTTGTTTTACTTCTTTTTCTTTTTCTTTTTTTTTTAGATGGAGTTTCGCTCTTGTTGCCCAGGCTGGAGTGCAATGGTGCAATCTCTGCTCACCACAACCTCTGCCTCCCAGGTTCAAGCAATTCTCATGCCTCAGCCTCCCGAGTAGCTGGGATTACAGGCATGTGCCACCATGCCCAGCTAATTTTGTATTTTTAGTAGAGATGGGGTTTCTCCATGTTGGTCAGGCTGGTCTCAAAGTCCCGACCTCAGGTGATCTGCCCGCCTCGGCCTCCCAAGGTGCTGGGATTGCAGGTGTGAGCCACTGTGCCTGGCCTTTACTTTTTAATGATAGACATTCTGGGAACTTATCAGCACAAAGAAGGAAACAACAGACACTGGGGTCTACTTGAGGAGGTAGGGAGGAAGGAGAAAGAGGAGCAGAAAAGACAACTATTGGGTACTGGGTTTAATACCTGGGTGATGAAATAATGTGTACAACAAACCCACATGACATGTGCTTACCTATGTAACAAACATTCATATGTACACCCAAACCTAAAATAACAGGTAAAAATTCAAATACAACTGGCAATAACAATATAGAAAATATCAAGGTGATAACCATACTGTTACGAATGCAGTAAAGGTTTTCTGAAACTTGTGTCTGGGTGTGGATGAGTTTGTGTGCATATCCACGAGAGATAGTTTTCTTTCTATGTACTGTCTTTGTCTGGTTCTGGTATTAGGATAATGCTTGCTTCATAAAATGAATTAGAAAATATTCTGTAATGTTTCAGTTTATGAAATAGATTATGGAGAATTGGTATTAATTCTTCAGAAATTTGATAGAATTCTCTAATGAAACCATCTTGGTCTGGAGGTTCTTTTGTGGGAGTATTTGAAATTACAAATTCAGTATACTTAATATGATGGGGCTATTCAAATTATTTATTTTATATTGGGCGAGTTGTGACAGTTTGTTTTTTTAGGATGGGTCAATATTATTTAGTTTGTCAAATTTATGTATATAGAGACTTTCATAGTATTATTTTACTATACTTTTGCTGACTTCAGGGCATGTAGTGAAATGTATCTCCTCTTTGGATATTTAATTTGCATCTTCTCTTAGTTCTAAGTTAAAGGTGTCGAATTGTAAGTAACAAACCAAATCTGAACATAGTATTGATGATGATGATGAGGATGATGATATACTTCATCGATTGCTGCCTTACTGAATTTTAATATATAGGCAATTCATATGCAATATTTTATTTAATTATAAATAGCAAACTTGAGAGCTTGACTATATTATCTATTTTCATATGCTCATAATCCCACAAATAGTAAGTAGCAGAGCCTATATTTGAGCATTGATCACGCTGACTCCAGTCTACCATTAGTATATATTGCAGAAGTTTTATTTGAATAACCTGGTGAGAGGTGACAACGTGCTAGCAGCCTTCGCTTGCTCTGGGAAGCTCCTTGGCCTCAGCCTCTGCTCTGGCCACACTCAAGGAGCCCTTCAGCCCGCCACTGCGCTGTGGGGGCTCCGCTCTGGGACTGGCGAGTCCAGAGCCGGCTCCCTCTGCTTGCGGGGAGGTGTGGAGGGGGAGGCGCAGCGGGGAGCTGGGGCTGAGTGCAGCACTCGCGGGTTGGCTTGGGTTCCGGGTGGGCATGGCCTGCCGGCACCTGCTGGGCTTGATCAGGGCTGAGCTCCTTCTGGGCTGCCGGAGTGCCCACGGGTGACTGCCAGTGACAGGTGAAGCCAGCTGGGCTTCTGGGATGGGTGGGGACTTGGAAAACTTTTCCTCTAGCCAAAGGATTGTAAACGCACCAATCAGCACTCTGTGTCTAGCTGAAGGTTTGTAAACACAACAATCAGCATTCTCTCAAATTGGACCAATCAGCTCTCTGTAAAATGGACCAATCAGCAGGATGTGGGTGGGGCCAGATAAAGGAATAAAAGCAGGCCACCTCAGCCAGCAACAGCAACTTTTCATGCTGTGGAAGCTTAGTTCCTTTGTTCTTCCTGCTAAATGTTGCTGCTGTTGACTCTTTGGGTCCGTGCCGCCTTTGAGAGCTGTAACACTCACCACGAAGGTCTGAAGCTTCACTCCTAAAGCCAGCGAGACTAGGAACCCACCAGGAGGGAGGAACAACTCCAGACGGGAGGAACGAACAACTCCGGAGGCGCCACCTTTATGAACTGTAACACTCACCATGAAGGTCTGCAGCTTCACTCCTGAGGCCAGTGAGACCACACATCCACCAGTAGAAAGAAACTACGGACAAGTCTGAACATCAGAAGGAACAAACTCCGGACATACCATCTTTAAGAACTGTAACATTCGCCGTGAGGGTCTGCAGCTTCATTCTTGAAGTCCGCAAGACCAAGAACCCACCAATTCCGGACACGCTGGGATACTTTGTGACTTTGTTTACAGAGAAAAAATAATATATTTTTTCATTCCAAATCTGTATTTAAAAATATGTATGGTCAGGCACAGTGGCTGATGCCTGTAATCCGAGCACTTTTGGAGGCTGAGGTGGGATCACTTGAGACTAGGAGCTCATATTGACCAGCCTGGCCATCATGGCAAAACCCCATCTGTACTAAAAATACAAAAGTTAGCCAGGTGTGGTGGTGCACGCCTATATTCCCAGCTATTCGGAAGGCTGAAGCATGAGAATTGCTTGAGCCCAGGAGGCCAAGGTTGCAGTGAGCCGAGATCCTGACACTGCACTCCAGCCTGGGCCACAGAGCAATATATATTATATATTATATATTATATATTATATATTATATATTATATATTATGTATTATGTAATATAATATTATATTATATATATTACATTACATATGTGTCTAGCTAAAGGTTTGTAAAAATTTATATATTATAGAAGTATACATTATATATGTGTTTTATTAATATTCGTTTATAAGTTAGAGAATTATGAAATCACATGTTTCAAGGTTACTTGATATATGTCAGATTATTAATGATAATCTGATGATCAATTTATAAAATGGAACAATTATGTTTTACATAATAGAGGTAACCTTAATAAACTACTAAAAACTTACGATATTAGAGGAAAGTAAGTATTACTTACTAGAAGCTATAAGGTTCAATATGAAGATAAGCTTTGGCATATTTGGATTAGAGTCATTCACAACCTAAAGGGTTTTTTTACATTGACAATTTTAACACGCATATACTTTAAGCTAGGAATGACAAAAATATTAGTGAAAAGTTTTGTGTCCATTCACATTAAAACATAGTATTTTAAAATCTTGAGTTTTTTGAAATATAAATAATATTTAGTGTATTTTATTAGTGTTATATATATTTGTAGCTCAGATTACACTCACTATACATGAAATATACTCTTAATCATTTAATATTATTTCTGATCATTTTTCATGATGTTGCAAATTCTTTGTATATGTGGTTGTAAGTGACTGCATAACATCTCATCTAATTGATGACTTGTATGTATGCATTTTGCCTATTTTGGGGTACAGTTTATTTTTTTCCATTTTTGATTATCATAAGCCATTTTGTGATAAAAATGTATGTGTGTGTGTGTGTGTGTGTGTTTATGATGTTTTCAGGCAATTTTCAAATAATAGGCTCTTAGAAGTAAAATTACTAATCCAGGAATTATTTTGTTTCAAATCTCTTTACTTGTTTAGGGAAGGATATGGCTACTTTGAAATGGAAACAAAAGATTTTAAATAAGAAACAATGAATAACATTATCCACAGAAAATCAGAGATTGAACCGTCAACATTAACATGGCATTTATCTTTTATTTTTATTTACATTATTTTTTTAGACAGGATCTTGTTCTCTTGCCCAAGCTGGAGTGCAGTGTTGTGATCATATTTCACTGCAGACTGGACCTCCCAGGCTCAATTGATCCTCCCACCTTAGCCTGAGTAGCTGGAACCATGGGCAGGGACCAGTACACCTAGTTAATTTTTGATTATTTGTAGAGACAGAATCTCCCTATGTTGCCCACGCTGGGTCTTGAAATCCTGGCCTCAAGCAGTCCTCCTGCCTCAGACTCCCAAAGTGCTGGGATTACAGGTGTGAGCCACCGTGCCTGGCCAGTATCTTTGTTGAAGTCTTCATAAAATCTTAACAGATTTTAATCTAATCTTAATCAGGTAAATATAAATTTCTTAAAATTTTTTATTAAATTTTACCACCATCATTAACTCCCTTTATATACTTTATAGCCATGTTGAAATGTCCATAAATGACCTGTTACAGGAAAAGAATATTGGCAACATATTTTTAAAAATCAGATACACACACATGCATTAATTATACTATCATTATATTTTCATTAATTTTCTTAAGAATTGATATTCAAGTGTTAATAGTCTATTTCTCTTGTACCAGATTAATATTTTATGTCTAGTTTATATAACTATACATTTTTAGGTCTCTGAGACACTATGCACTTGACAGTCATCATAAATAATATGAGAATAAAGGAAATAGCCCATAATGTAACTAATTACCAGTGATTTAATTTTTCTAATTAATCTGTGTATTAGGGTTCTCCAGAGGGCTAATAGGATATATGTATATATGAAAGGGAGTTTATTAAGGAGAATTGGCTCACAGTATCACAAAGCGAATTCCCACGATAGGCTGTCTGCAACCTGAGGAAGAAAGAAGCCAGTAGTGGCTCAGTCAGAGACCAAAAGCCTCAAAAGCAGGGCAGCCGACTGCAGTCAGTCTTCAGTCTGTGGCCGAAGGCCTGAGAGCCCCTGGCAAAACACTGGTGTGAGTCCAAAGGCCGAAGAACGTGGAGTCTGATGTTCAAGAGCAGGAGGAACAGAAGAAAGCATCCGGCACAGGAGACAGATGAAAGCCAGAAGACTCAAGTCAGTTTATCCCACCTTCTTCCTCTAGCTTTGTTCTAGCTGCTCTGGCAGCGGATTGGATGGTGCCCACCCATGTTTTGCTTCCTTTCCCAGTCCACCTACTGCAATGTTAATCTCCTCTGGCAACACCTTTACAGACACACGCAGAAACAATACTTTACCAGCTATCTAGGCATTCTTCAATCCAATCAAGTTGACACCTAACATTAACCATCACAATCTGCCTTATTGTTTGTGGTTTATAGCCCTGTTGCATGTACTATCATCCATATGCAGGCTTGTCCATCAATGACAGCTGTTTCTCAATGAACAATTACTAAGGGGTATACTTCAAGAAAAGTGAAGAAATATGTCACTCATTACAGTTTCTATTAAAAGCTATCAGAGTTTCCTATCAGAACAATGTGCTATGCAGTTTGGTTTTATCAATATACTTGGCAGATACCAGATATCAATTGGACCCGATGTTTGAGAGTGCTACAAATCTTGAAGAAAATTTGAGTCTTGTCTGCATTAGTGCTTTCAAGTAGATAACTAAGGTAGTCATTTCAAAGAAGGTTGTTAGAGAGTACTAGCAAATAACACAAGTTTTAAAATAGTTTATTAGATGGGTAAATTTAGACTAGGGCAAAAATCCACATAAAGTTTCTTTTTCTCATTTAAAATGGGAAAATAATTTCTAATTTATGAGTTTGTGGTGAGAATTATGTAATTTAACATCAAGCACCTAGTAAACAGTAACTGTTGTCAGTATTACTAATTATTGGAGTCTTTAGTCATTAACATCTGAAATTCTGTTTTATATAGTTCTTCTGAAATCTTTTGTTACTCCCTTTTACGTTTTCTACAATACCTTTTTTCATTAGTCATCCTAATTGTTAAAAAGCCAAAATTACATCTCTAAAGTCACATTAAATTTAGTTTATAATATTACAATGCATAAATGCATAAGGGAAGTGTTTTGCCATAGTTTTATTGGCCTTTTTACTTTCACATTATTACATTACCTTCTGAAGTTAAACATTAGAAACCCAATAAACATTCAGTGGAAAAGCTATAGGTTGAGGTGGTTTAAGGACATTCTTTATTTAGAAATGAATATCTTTGGCTAAGAATATAAAAAAAAAATGTGATACACTCTGGCATATGTCAACTAGATGTACTAACCAAGTGAATATTTTGACCTTAAAAGTAGATGTTGAATTCTACACTTATAAAGTTGGAATGTCCTACTGCTCATTGTGCAAGTAGATAACAATGGGCAGAGATAACTTAGCCTCCTTTAACAACTTGCACCTATTTGACAAAAAGCCAGAGGAAGATGAGAATAGTGGGACAAAGAATATAATAGCTATTCTGTGTATAAAATTGACCTTTTTTGGGGGATATTATTCTTACAAATGGTGATTAAAATATTTTCTGGTAATATAGTCGTCATTATGTTAAAGATCCACTTCTAGGAAACATGTGCTTTGAAATTTTAAACTCAATCTCAAATAATATTACATAAATACATGCCTGATGGACATTGCATAGGCTGGAAAACATCGAAATACAAAACATTAGATTTATGCCTCTTGCAAAGTAAGCTCATTGACTTTTAAGTAAAGGTTTAAATAAACATTTAAAGATAATTGCAAGATGACATGAATAATCTGCAAAGAACACTTTCAATGATAGGTGATTATGTTAATTTGCTTTACTATTAGTAAGATTCAGTTTAAGCATGGCATTATTAGTTAGGTATGACTGAATTATTTAACTCAAGAAAAAATTTTTTCTCTTTTGGCAAGAGCTACGTTGCCATTTTATTACATCTCAGTTTCTGACTAACAATATATTATCCTTCAGCTCATATCATTTCATAATCATTTCTTATCGGTGTCTAGCTGATAGGCCTAGGCCATAAGCTAAGGTGGGGACTTACTCTTCATCAGTCTCTCAAATTTATTTGTCTCTGACATTATTTCTGGAGTTAATTATTATCATATAAGAATCAACAACATAAGAAAGCGTTGTTGAATTTGCACATTTCTATCATGTATATATATCTTACATATATAATATATATAGATTACTGTAGTGTACTATATATTTATAATGCTATGTATACATAGATATCTTACTATATATGTAGATATATAGTAAACAACTGTTTCAAATGCATTATATTATACAATATATATTATGTAAATATATACATTTTGATTATATATGTACACACATAAACACATACATATACATATGCACACACATACAATGGAAGTTACAAACTTCTGTCCTGCAATGAAAGCATAAAATATTATTTTCAACTTCCAAACATTTTAAATTGGCACCATAAAACACTATTAAATAAATGTCACTTGTTGTGGCTCATGCATGTAATTCCAGCCCTTTGGGAGACCAAGGTGGAAAGATTCCTTGAAGGTGAATAATTCAAGACCAGCCTGGGCAACATAGTGAGACTCCATCTCTACAAAAATAAAAAATAAGAGGTGTGGTGGCATGCACCTGTAGTCCTAGCTACTCTGTAGGGTAAGAGAGGAGGATTGCTTGAGCCCAGGAGTTCATAGCTGCTGTGGGTTATGATTGTGCCACTGCACTCCAGCATGGGTGACAGTGAGATCCTGTCTCTTAAAAAATGAAAATTTTTAAAATGTCATAAATATTTCAGTTCTAAATATTATAGTGGCTTAAGGTAGCAAACATGAGGAAACAAAGTAAAAATAAAGAGAAATTATCAGCACAATCTTTTTTTCATCAGGGTTCCAATATGGCCAACATTTTACAGATACGAAATCTCTAATCCAGGCTGCTATAGGTTGCACAATGAACGAAAAAGGGCAAGCAATGGTTGACATCACCAAGAAGAAAGAGATGTTAGTATTATCTGACAGAGATTCTAAAGCAGCAATAATAAAAATGCTTCAATGAGCACTTACCAAAGTGTTTCGAACAAATGACAAAATACAAAGTTCCAGCAAAGAAATAGAATTTTTAAACCTAAAAATAGAAGATATAAGAAGCAACAAATAAAAATTGTATAACAGTCCTATAGCTTGAATGTATCCCCCAAAGTTAATGTTTTGAAAAGTTAGTACCCAATGAAATAGTGTCAAGAGGTGAGACCTATGAGAAGTAATTAGATCATGAGGTCTCTGCCTTCTTAAGTGTATTAATACCATTATCAATGGAGTGGGTTCATTACCATGAGAGTGGGTTTGGTATAAAAGTGAGTTTGGTTCCCTCTTGTTCTCTCTCATCCACATGTGATGTCTCTCCATGTGATACTTCCTGCCATGTTATGCTGCAGCAAGAAGACCCTCACCAGATGCAGCCCCTCTATGTTGGACTTCCCAGCCTCCGGAAGTGTAAGCCAGAAAAACTTATATTGTTTATAAATTACCCAGTCTGTAGCATTCTGTTACACCAGCACAAAATAAACTACAACAAACTGTAAAATATAATAAACAAAAACTAAACAAAACTTTGAGTGTGCTCAACAGCACAATAGAGAGGCAGAGAAAAGAATTAGTGACCATAGCAATTGCCTAATTGCAGAGGTTGCAGTCCTTAGGAGTCACACATTGGCCATGGGTTGGGGTAGGGAGGCCCATGGGAAGGAGAGTTTGACTGCTCAACAGCCAGATGAGGCCTACATTTTCCTTTTGCACTGCGCTCTGCAAATTGGACCTACTGTCATGGTTCTAGCTGCCAAATAAAAATTTTGCTAATAGGTTTAATTAGGTTACACGGAAATTGGTGCACTTTGTTTAGGTGCAGTGAAAATAGTACTGATTAGGACTCAGGAGAGATCAGTTTAAGAATCAGCCCTGTAAAAGGAAATTATCAACTTATTTTTTATCTTGATTTTCTATTCTCCATTTTGATTATCTCTGCTCAAAGCCTTATTATTTCCTTCTTCTGACTTGGGTTTAGTTTTTTCTCCTTATTTAGTTTCATAAGACTTAAAGTTAGGTAGTTAATTTGAATTCTTGCTTCGTTTTCAATGTACGCACTTACATTTAAAAATTCCCTCTTAGCATTTTTTTGGCTATATCTATAAGTTTTATTATTTTGTGTTTTTATTTTCATTTTTCTCAAGACATTTTCTAATTTCTTTAGTGATTTTATCTTTCACTCATTGTTTTTTAAAGAGTGTATTGTTTAATTTGCACATATTTGTGGATTTTTCAGTTTTCCTTTGCTTCATTTCTACTTTTATTCAATTGTGATGAGAAGAGCTACTTTGCATGATTTAATGTTTTTAAATTATTGAACGTCTCTTAGAGACTTCAATATCCCACGTTCAATAATAGAAAAAATAAGACAGAAGTTTGATAAATGAAAAGAGAATTTGATAAACATTATAGACCAATTGGATGTAACAAACATAAGTAACACAGAAGAATGTATTTTTTTTCTGAGTGCATATAGAATGTTCTCCAAGATAGACAACATGCTTGGCCACAGAAAAAGTCTTAATTAATTTAAAAACATTAAATCATGCAAAGTATCTCTTCTCGTCATCCCGTCAAATTCATCAGTATTCGCTTCACATATTTTCAGACTCAGACATTTGGTGCATAAATGCATATAAGTGCAATAAATAGTATATATATATATACACACACACTTATATATACATATATACACATATATACATATATATAGATAGATATAGGATTTGGTACTATCAATGGTTTTAGGCATCTATTGTGGGATGAGTCTTGAAACTTATGCCACGTGGATAAGGGAGGACTACTGTATCTTCTTGGTTATTTGAACACTTTATTGTTACATAATGTCCATTTTTGTCTCTAGTAACTATTTTTGACTTGAGAATTATTTGTCTAATATTAATGTAGCCACTTCTGCTCAATTTTTTTTACTATTTGCATGAAATATTTTCGCCATTCTTTCACTTTCTTTGCTAAATATGTTTCTTCATTTTTTTCTTTTTTTATTTATGCATAATAGATGTACATATTTTCAGGGTATATGTGATAATTTGATACATTCATATAATGTATGAAAATCAACTATCCTTTCATTTTTACTGTATATCCTTAGATTTAAAATGAGTCTTTGTAGTCAGTGTATAGTTAAATCATGTTTCTATTTTAAAATATTCTGCCAATCTATGTCATTTGATTGGGCAGTTTAAACTATTTACATTCAAAGTAGTTATTGAGCAGCCTCCACTGCTTTTTTTTCTTCACTCTGGGAGGCCCACATGGCTCTGCCTCAACTTTCTATTCCCTGTGACTCACAGGACCTGAGAGATCAGTAGGGAGGACAACATGGCACTCCAGAAGCTGGGAAGTGGACAAAGAAAAGGCAAGGGGATTCCAAAGCTCATATAGCTCAAAAAGTTTAGTTTACTTGGATAGTCTTATTTGAGTTTTCATCTATACAATTTTTTTTGCAAAAGTGCCAAAATGGCCAACTAGATGCAGATAGAAAGAGCTTCCCCCACTAAGAGACTAGACTATCAAAAAGACCAGCACACTCCAAGCAAATTTTCAGGAAGAAGGCATTGAGAGTGGGTAAAGGGAGGACATAGACTGAAGAGGGAGGAAGCTGGGAACCCTGCACAGGGTTGGTGAGCACCCTTATATCCAAACAAACAATTGAACTAGCTCTCCAGCAATACTTTTTAACCAAGCTGATATGTCTAAAATATAAACATATAATTCAGAATCTGGATAACAATGAAGATCATGAAGATTCAGGAAAAAATTGAAACTCAAGCCAAGGAAACTAAGAAATTTAGTAAAATGATACAAGAGCTCAAACAGAAAATAACTATTATATGCAAAAACCAAACTGATTTTCTACAGCTGAAATTTTCACTACAACAATTTCATAATACAATTGGAAGTATTTACAGCAGAATAGACCAAGCTGCAGGAAGAATCTCAGAGTTCAAAGACCAGTTCTTTGAATCTCAGTCAGACAAAAATAAAGAAGAAATACAAAAGAATTAACAAAACCTACAAGAAATATGGAATTATATAAAGAGACCACCAAACCTATGACACATTGGTGTCTCTGAAAAACAAGGAGAGGGAACTAGAAACTTGGAAAATATATTCAAGGGTATTGTCCACAAAAATTTCTCCAACCTCAGTAGAGAAAGCAATGTTCAAAGTAAGGAAATTCAGGGAACCCCTGTGAAACAGTATGCAAGGCAACCATCCCCAATGCAGTATATATATATATATATATACACACACACACATATATATATATCACATATATACATATATAAGTATATATATGGCATATATATATCACATATATACATATATAAGTATATATATGGCATATATATATCACATATATACATATATAAGTATATATATGGCATATATATATCACATATATACATATATAAGTATATATATGCCATATATATCACATATATACATATATAAGTATATATATGGCAGCTAGAAATAAGGGGCAAGTTGCTTACAAAAAGAACCCAGTCTGGCTAAGAGTAGACCTTTCAGCAAAAACCCTACAAACTAACAATGAGGTTTTCCACATAGTTAGAAAAATCACTTCTAAAATTCACATGGAACAAAAACAGAGCCCAAACAGCAGAGAAATCCTAAGCAAAATAACAAAGCCAGAGGCATCACAATAGCTGATGTCAAACTATACTACAAGGCTATAATAACCAAAAAGGTATGGTACTGGTACAAAAACAGACACATAGATAAATGGGACAGGTTAGAGAACCCAGAAATAAAGTCGTCCACCTAGAACCATTTGATCTTTGACAAACTCAACAACAGCAAGCAATGCGGAAAGAAATCCTTATTCAATAAATGCTACTAGGATAATTTACTAGCCATAGGCAGAAGATTAAAACTGAACCCCTTTATTTAAACAGATGTAAAAAGCAACTCAACATGGATTAAAGACTTAAATGTAAAACCTAAAACTATAAAACCCTAGAGAAAAACCTAGGAAATACTATTCTGGATATTGGTCTGGCAAAGATTTCATGGTGAAGACTCCAAAAATAATTTCAACAAAAATAAAAATTGACAAACAGGACCAAATTAAACTAAGGAGCTTTGACATAGTGAAAGAAACTACCAACACAGTAAACAGACCACCTAGAGAGTGGGAAAATACACTTGCAGACTATACATCCAACAGAAACCTAATATCCAGAATCTATAAGTAACTTTACAAAATCAAGAAAAAAAGAAAGAAAGAACTCCTCTAAAAATGGGCAAATGACATGAACAGACACTTCTCAGAAGACAAACACATGGCCAACAAGCATATGAAATAATGCACAATATCACTAATCATTAGGGAAGCACAAATTAAAACCACAATGCAATACTATCTCACACCAGTCAGAATGGCTATTATAAAAAAGTCAAAAAATAACAGATGTTGGTGAGGTTGCAAAGAAAAGAGAATGCTTATACACTGCTGGTGGGAATGTAAATTAGTTCAGCCATTGCAGAAGGCAGTTTGGTGATTCCTCAAAGTATTTAAAACACAATTACCATTTGACCAAACAATCACATTACTAAGTATATACACAAAGGAATATAAATTTTTCTACCATAATGACATATGCACATGTAGGTTCATCACAGAACTATTCACAATAGCAAAGACATGGAATCCACCCAGATGTCCATCAATGGTGCACTTGATAAAGAAAATGTGGTTCATATACACCATGGAATGCTTCACAGCCATAAAAATAAGTAAAATTATGTCATTTGCAGCAACATGTATGCAGACAGAGGACATTATCTTATGCAAATTAATGCAGGAACAGAAACCAAATACCACATGATCTCACTTATGAGTGGGAGCTAAACATTGTGTACACAGGGACATAAGGAAGGGAACAATAGACATTGGGGCCTACTTGAGGGTGGAAGGTGAGAGGAGATTGAGAATTAAAACCCTACCTATGCGATGTTATGCTCATCACCTGGCTGGTGAAATGATCTGTACAGCAAACCTCTGTGACACGCAATTTACCCTTGTAACAAACCTGCACATGTACCCCCTAAACCTAAAATAGTGTTTGGAAAGAAATAAAAGACTTTTATACAATAACATGCCCATCTGCGTTACTTAATTGTATCTGTATTGGAACAAAATTAAATTTGTAAATTACCTTAAGAACAATTGATGTTGATAATATTGAGTTTTCCCATCTAATAACATGATTTGATTTTTCATGTGTTTATGTCTACATTCATATAACTTAGGAACTTTCTATGGTTTTTGTTATATTCAAAACACATTTTTGTTAGATGTATTATTAGGTAGTTTATTTTGTTAGAGTCTATTAAAAAGTAAACAGAAGTATAAAAATAATAAAATAATTATTGATAACTATGGACATTTTTTAAATTCATTCAAGTAATTTGGAAGCCTTTGTTTTTTAGACTTAGTTACTGAGATATTTTCCCCCCAGTTTTTATTTTGGTTTAAGGAGTACATGTGCCAGTTTGTTATACGGGTAAATTGCATGCCATGCTGGTTTGGTGTACAGATAATTTTGTAACACAGGTAATCAGCATACTACCCAGTAGAGAGTTTTTCAATTCTCACTATCCTCCTACCTTTCAACTTCAAATAAGCTCCAGTGTCTATTGCTTCTTTCTTTGTGTCCATGGGTACCAATGTTTAGCTCCCACCTATAAGTAAGAACATGTAGTCTTTGGTTTTCTGTTCCTGCATTAATTGACTTATGATTATGGCCTCCAGCTCCATTCATGTTGTGGCAAAGAATATGATCTAATTTTTAAAAATCTTTGTAGTATTCCGTGATGTACATTACATGCACCACATTTTCTTTATCCCATTCACTGTAGGTGGCCATCTAGGTTAATTCCATGTCTTTGCTATTGTGAATAGTGCAGCGATGAACTTACTCATGCGTGTGTCTTTATGGTAGAATAATATATATTCCTTTGAGTATATACCCATTAATTGAATTGCTAGGTCAAATGTTAGTTTTGTTTTAACTTCTTTGAGAAATCTCCAAAGTGTTTTCCACATTGGCTAAAGAAAAATTAAATTCCCACTAACTGTGTAGAAGCCTTCCCTTTTCTCCACAACCTCTCCAGCATCTGTTATTTATTTATTTTTGACTTTTTAATGATAGCCATTCTGACTGGTGTTATTCTGATAGCCATTCTGATGGTATCTCTTTGTGGCATTGATTTGCATTTCCCTAATGATTTGTGATATTGAACATTTTTCCATATGCTTGATAGCCACGTGTGTATCTTCTTTTGAAAATTGTCTGTTCATGTCTTTGCCCATTTTTACATGGGATTATTTTTGCTTGTTGACTTGAGTTCCTTCTAGATTCTGGATATTAGACCTCTGCTGGATGCACAGTTTCCAAATATTTTCACCCATATTGTAGGTTGTCTGTTTACTCTGATAGTTTCTTTTGTTTTGCAGAAGCTCTTTAGATCGATTAGGTCCGATTTGTCAATTTTTTGTTTTTGTTGAAATTACCTTTGGAGGCTGCATCATGATTTCTGAACAAGGGCCAATGTCTAAGAATGGCATTTCATAGGTCTTCCTCTATAGTTTTTATAGCTTTAGGTTTTACATTTAACTCTTCAAGCTATCTTGAGTTGATTTTTGTGTAGAGTATAAGGAAGGAGTCCCATTTCAACATTCTGCATATGGCAAGCCAGCTATCCCAGCACCATTCATTGAATGGGGATTATTTCCCAATTGCTTGTTTTTGTCAGTTTTGTCGAAGATCAGATGTTTTTAGGTGTGTGGCTTTATTTGTGGCCTTTCATCCTTTCCTATTGATCTATGTGCCCATCTCTGTACCAGTACCATGCTATTTTAGTTATTTTACCCTGGCACTATAGTGTGAAGTTGGATGTTATGATGCTTCCAGCTTTTTTCTTTTTGCTTAGGATTGCTTTGGATGTTTGTTATATTTTTGTTCCACGTGAATTTTAAAAAAGATTTTTCTGATTATGTGAAGAATGGCATTAATAATTTGATAGGAGTAGCACTGAATCTGTAAATTGCTCGGGTCATTCTTGTGGCCATTTTAAAAATATCGATTCTTCCTATCCCTGAGCTTGGAGTGTTTTTCCATTTGTTTGTGTCATCTTTGATTTCTTTGAGCAGCATTTTGTAATTCTTGTTGAAAAGATCTTTAACTTCTCAGGTTAGTTGTTTTCCTAGGTATTTTTGTGTATATGTATGTGATTATTGGGAATGGGATTGTATTTTTGATTTGGCTCTCAGCTTGGACAGTATTGATGGATAGAAATACTACTGATGTTTGTACACTGATGTTGATTCTTGAAACATTGCTGAAGTCATTCATCAGATCTAGAAGCCTTTGTACAGGGACTAGAGGATTTTCTGGGTATAGAATTATAATGTCTTTGAAGAGAGTTTGACTCCCTGTCTTTTTATTTGACTGTCTTTTGTTTCTTTGTCTTACCTGATTGCTCTGGATAGGACTTCCAGTAGTATGCTGAATAGGTGTGGTGAGAGTGGGCATCGTTGTCTTGTTCCAGTTTTCAAGGGAAATTCTTCCAGCTTTTGGTTATTAAGTATGATGTCAGCTGTGCAGAAGCTATTTAGTTTAATTAGGTCCCATTTGTCAGAGACAGGAAAAAAAAAACTTAGTACCCCAAATTGCCACAATATATGACCTATAACGTTCAGTTATCAAAAAACTACAAGATATGCAAATAAATAGGAATGTGTGAATGATACACAGAAAAAAGGAAACAATGGGAAAAGTATGTAAAAATGAGGAGCTATCAGATATAACAGAAAAAGACTTAAACAGCTTCTGCACAGCTTCTCTGTTTCTGTTGTTGCTTACTTTGTTGCAATTGCTTTTGGCATCATTGTCATAAAATCTTTGTCAAGGCTTATGTCTAGAATGGATTTTCCTGGGTTTTCTTCAAAGGTTTTTATAATTTTAGGTTTTACATTTATGTCTTTAATAATCTTGAGTTGATTTTTGTATATGGTGTAAGAAAGTGGTTCACTTTCAATCATCTGCATATGACTAGCCAGCTATCCCAGCTCCATTTATTAAATAGGGAGGCCTTTTCCCACTGCCTTTTTTTGTTGACATTTTCAAAGAACAGATGGTTGTAGGCGTGTGGCTTTATTTCTGGGCTCTCTATTCTGTTCCATTGATCTATGTGTCTGTTTTTGTACCACTTCCACGCTATTTTGGTTACTGTAGCCTTGTAGTATAGTTTGAAGTTCAGTAATGTAATGCTTCCAGGTTTAATGTTTTTTGTTTGTTTGTTTGTTTTGTTCTTCTTAGAATGTCTTTGGCTATTCCGGCTCTGTTTTGGTTCCATATATATATATATATATTTTATAATTGTGTGAAGAATGTCATTGGTACTCTGATAGAAATGGCATTGAATCTGTAAATTGCTTTGGGCAGTATGGCCATTTTTATGATATTGATTCATCCTATCCATGAGCATGGAATATTTTTCCATCTGTTTTTTGCCATTTCTGATTTCTTTCTTTCCTTCCTGCCTTCCTGCTTTCTTTCTTTCTGTCTTTCTGTCTTTCCTTCTTTCATCATCTTCTTCTGTTTGTTTGTTTTTTTTTTGACAGGGTTTTACTCTGTCATCGAGGCTGGAGTGCAGTGCTGCGATCTCAGCTCACTGCCACTTCCACCTCCCTGGCTCAAGGGATCCTCCCATCTTAGCTTGCTGAGTAGCTGGGACCACAGTTGCGTGCCACCACGCCTGCCTCGCTAATTGTATTTTTTGTAGAGACAGGATTTCGCCATGTTGCCCAGGCTGATCTCAAACTCCTGGATTTAAGCGATATGTCTGCCTCGGACTTCCAAAGTGCTGGGATTACAGGCGTGAGCCACTGTGCCCTGATTTTTTGAGCACTGTTTGGTAGTTCTCCTTGAAGAGGTCTTTCACGTCCCTGGTTAGCTTTATTCCTAGGTACTAATATTTTATTCTTTTTACGGCTATTTTGTAAAGAATTGTGTTCTTGATTTGACACTCAGCTTGGATGTGGCTGGTGTATAAAATGGTACTTATTTTTGCAGATTGATTTTTAGGCAGGAGAATAGGGCTTGGAGGCAGGTAACCTAAGGCCAATTCGTGCTGAGTCACAGAAAAACATCAAGCTCTGTGGGCAAGGAATCTAAGGGCAATTCACTCTGACTTTTCAAAGCTGGATCAAAAGGAAAACACCTGGGTCTGGGGGCAGGGAACCTAAGGCCAATTAACACAAAATTCCTAAAGCTAAACCAAAAGGAAAAACCCCATCTCCCACAGGGAGTAACAAAGGAACAAGGCTACTCTCCCAACAACCCTCCCTCCCCCTTCCACCGTCTCAGTTGGAAAGGGAGAGTACCTTGGATTAGCCACAGGCCAAGCAGGGACCATCCCTTTATCTGCATTGGGCACCAATTCACAGCAGCCTTTAACCACAGACCAAATCCTTCATCCAGATAAGGGGTAGTCCAAGAACCTCAAACAGAGTTCTTAAAGCCCAGAAACTTTTGTAACTGGGCCATGGGGCCGCTTGCTGGGACCCACTCTCTCCCTGCAGAGTGCTTTCTCGCTTTAATAAATTCCTGCTTTCACTGCTTCGTTCTTGCATTTCATTTCTCTGCTACTTTGTGCGTTTTGTTCAATTCTTTGTTTAAAACGCCAAGGACCTAGAGAGTGTGTAGTCAAGACCCACTACCGGTAATAATTTTGTATCATGAAACTTTTCTGAAGCTGGTTACCAGATCTAAGAACTTTGGGGCAGAGACTATGAGGTCTTCTAGGTATAAAATCGTATCAACTACAAAGAGAGATGGTTTGAATTCCTCTCTTCCTATTTGGTTGCCTTTCATTTCTTTGCTTGATTGCTCTGGCTAGGACATTCAGTACGATGTTCACTAGAATTGTGGAGAGTGGGCACCCTTGTCTTGTTCCATTTCCCTAGGGAAATGTTTCCAGTTTTTGCCTGTTTCCTAAGATGTTGGCCATGTGTTTGTCATAGATGGCTCTTATCATTTTGAAGTATGTTTCTTCAATGCCTAATTTGGTGAGAGTTTTAAACATGAAAGAATGCTGATTTTTGCTGAAAGCCTTTTCTGCATCTATTGAGATGATCGTTTTTTAAAAGTTCTTTTTATGTAATAGACCACATTTATTGATTTGCATGTGTGGAACCAACCTTGCCTCCCAAAGATAAAGTCGACTTGATCATGGTGGATTAGCTTTTTGATGTGCTGCTGGATTCATTTTGCCAGTTTTTTTTCTTTCTTTCTTTCTTTTTTTTTTTTTTTGAGCATTTTGGCAGTGTTTGTTGTTGTTGCTGTTGTCATTGTGTCTCTGCCAGGTTTGTTATCAGAATAATGCTGGCCGCATAGAAGAGTTAGGCAGGAATCCCTCCTCTTAAGTTTTTGGAACAGCTTCAGTTAGAATGGTACCAGCTCTTCTTTATACATCTTGTAGAATTCAGCTTTTAATTAATCTGGTTTTGGGCTTTTTCTGGTTGGTAGGCTTTTTATTACTGATTCAATTTTGGAACTCATTATTGGTCTGTTCAGCATTTGAATTTCTTCCTAGTTCAATTTTGAGAGGTTGTATGCTTCTCAGAATTTATTCATTTTTTCTAGGTTTTCTAGTTTGTGTTCATAGAGGTGTTTGTAATAGTCACTGATGATTTTTGTATTTCTGTGAATGTTGTGATAATGTCCTCTGTCATTTTTGGTTGTATTTACTTGGATCTTGTCTTTTTTTTTCTTTTCTTTATTATTCTAGCTAGCAGTCCATCAATCTTATTTATTCTTTCAAAAAACAAACCTAGTTTTATAAAAATTTTCTGTATTTTTTGTGTCAATTGTATTCAGGTCTAATTTTGCTTATTTCTTTTGTTTTCTGCTTGCTTCTGAGTTGGTTTATGCTTACTTTTCTAGTTCTTCTACATTTGATGTTCAATTGTTAATAGAGATCTTCATGATAGTTATTTGAACATATTTATCATGGCTCCTTTAAGTCTTTTTCTGTTATATCTGATAGCTCCTCATTTTTACATACTTTTCCCATTGTTTCCTTTTTTCTGTGTATCATTCACATATTCCTATTTATTTGCATATCTTGTAGTTTTTTGATAACTGAACGTTATAGGTCATATATTGTGGCAATTTGGGGTACTAAGTTTTTTTTTTTCCTGTCTCTGTTTCTGTTGTTGCTTACTTTGTTATTATTATGATTTTTAACCTGGCTAGGCCATTTTAGTGAAATTGATCACTACAGCAGTTTGAAGCCTTTTGTGTTCCTCCTTTGAAGTCACCTACATGGCTGTGTATAATCACCCTGAGATTGTAGTGGCTTTGTCAGAGATCTCTTTGATTATCTCTTTTCATATTTTTTCTGTAAAACTCTCTGCGTCATTTGGTATTATTTCCCTCCAGTTCAGCTTCATTATCAGCTGATTTCTCTATTGTATTCAGCAATACCCTGAGTGAACTATTGCTCAGCAATTTGATCCAGTTAAGTTGGGTCAGGAATAGTATTTAAGGCCAGTCTTTAAACTTTGTCATGACTTTAGGGTCGCTATTCTTAGCTACATTTTTTCATACATTCTGGTAAAGTATCTGGCCTATGTTTCAGATTGCTGATCTTGATTGAGAAGAGCCATTGCTACTGAGAGTGTCCTTAATTTAAAACTCCTACATGTTCTATAAAGTCATATTTTGTAAGGGGAGCTTCATAGCTCTCTTTCCTTATACTCTTCCCTTCTCTCTGGCTAACTATATGACTAACTACTCTGGGCACTAGGCAGGCCACTAGACTGTGTTCTCTTATGCTTGCCTCTCCTAACATGGAAACTGCCCAATAAATGAGCTAGGGCAAGAGCATTTGGGGGTCCCAGAATTCTCAGCTTACCACATTGGGGTTAGAGCTTCTATCCTCTATGTAGAGACTGGGTGTAGGTAAAAGGTCCCACTTCTTGGTCACACTCACTATTAATTTGGCCTCTTTAACTAGGAGTTGGAGGAGATAAAACATGTTGATGACCTACCCCTCTAGGTGAGAGATAGAGTAAACCTTAATTTGGATTTCAGAGTAGAGAGTCTATCTTCTTGGCTATATCCACCTGATATAAAATTTCTGTCAAGATGAGCCCAGGATAGGTGAAGGAGAAGGTCTCAGATACCATGGGGTCTCTGTGCTCTTATTAAGTTTTAGTAGATTTTTAAAATAACTTAGTTTTGTTAATTAGGACGATTTCTAGGGACATTAAGTGGTTGTGATTTTAAATGTTTTTATGCTAGTTAGGCATTTTTCACAAGGGAGTGTCTCTGTGAAACACTACATGTCATCATTCTTAAAGAAAAGCACTCTAGTTGGTTTGTTAAAATGAGCATGTATGCAAGGAAAAAAAATTATCAGACAATAAACATTATACATAGTTTTAATTGCATTGATGGGAGTGGGAGTTTTGCATTTTCACATCTTACATAATGGATGAACAGAGAACTTTAGTTCTTAGTAAGAAAACAAAAACATTGAACCATGGATAGAACAGTGGGGAGCTCTCTTTTGAACAACTTGTAGGTTGATGAGTAAATCAACACTAGCACTTATGTCTATCCAGAAAATAATCAGGAGATTATCACAGCTCATGAGATAAGCACAGTAGATACGTTATAGCTTTTAAACAAATTTCTTTCTAAACACAATAAAAGGAGAAATTTAATTGTTTTGCTTAAGATAAAAACCTAAGTAGGCTGGGCGCGGTGGCTCACGCCTGTAATCCCAGCACTTTGGGAGGCTGAGGTGGGTGGATAAGGAGGTCAGGAGGTCGAGATCATCCTGGCCAACATGGTGAAACCCCATGGCTACTAAAAATACAAAAATTAGCCAGTGTAGTGGCGTGCACCCGTAGTCCCAGTTACTCAGGAGGGTGAGGCAGGAGAATCGCTTGAACCCAGGAGGTGGAGGTTACAGTGAGCTGAGACAGCACCGTTGCAGCTTGGGCGACAGAGCAAGACTCGGTCTTCAAAAAAAAAAAAAAAAAGAAAGATAAAAGAAAGAAAAAAAAACCCTAAGTAAAAGTGAAGAAATATGCATATTATATTGAAGTATTAGAAAAAGTGAACTAATAGACAATAGATTATTCTAAGTGAGATCAATTGCAAAATAAAATTTATGAAGAGAAAAGCCCACAATTACAATGAAAAACAGAGTAACAGAAAAACACTCAACAAAGCAAATAAAAGTAAAATTATTCTTTGAACTGACTTTATACAAATTTGAGTAAAATGATTAATTTGTAAGAAAATTATAATTACCAATAAATTGACTCAAGAAGCAATAGAAAAGCTACTCAGATGAGTATTATATACAATATTGAGTACATTTTCAAAGGGTTATACTATGAATTTTTTCTGGCCCAGAAAATTTTGCAGGCAGTTTTTGCAGTATGTTTAAGAACAGATAATTTTGTTGCTATTTAGCTATTCCTAAGTATAGAGAACAAAGAAAAAAATTATGCTTTTTTTTCAAGATTCAAGAATAAGTGAAATATGCTTAGCACACTGGTAGTGTGCTACTTTGTTTATTTTCATTATTACTAAATCATCATAACATTGTAACCAATGTCTGACAAAGACAGATCTAGGAGAAAATAAGAATACCAATTCACCTCACTGATAGACACTGACACACACATTTTTGATAATATGTAACTGCACTGCCTCCTGTAATACATGCATAAAAATTACATCATGATCAATTAAGATTAACCTGGGAATGCAGAGATCATACAGTCATAGTTTTATCTATTTTAGCTAATTCACCATTTTGATAAAAATGAAAAATGATCTTAATGATAAAAGTAAATTTGATATAATTAACAACTAATTTTCTAATCACAACATTTAAGTAAATCAGCCCCCCAAATTAATCTCTCTGTGCAAATATCAAAGACTAACTAAACTTACAAAATTTGCATTTGATTATATTTAGAGGGTATTATCCAACAAACTAATGTACTTACTGCTTGGAAAAAGCAAGTCTCTGTGATTCTGGAATACCTGTCAGTCAGCTCTGAGATTACTTTCTTATGTTAAGAAATACTTGTCTATCAACTGTGAGATTACTTTCCTTTGCTTCTTAATCCTATGTATTTTATTTTGGCATTTAAAATTAGTATTCTGTGAAGGGATCCATTTTTTTTTTACTGACAAAGAGGTGCACAGAACAAAAAAAAATGAGTAAATATAGCTCCTGTTTGGCAGCCTCCTTTGTATGGCTTTAGCTCTAACCATTGTTAGAGCTAATGGTCTCAATATCACCATTTCTTCCTTTTTGTCCCTTGAGAGCTAATGGTTACAAGGACTTCTTTCTGTTGCTAGTTACCAGATGCCTCAATCTGCCTCATTGGTTCTCTTAATCTTGCCATAATTTGCGGAATAGTCCTTTCCTTAAATATTCTTCAATTCCAGGCTTAGCAGGTCTTCTGTTTCCTTTGAAGATAAGTAGCAAATATATTATCCTGCCTTTATGGACAGAATTTTTGCATAGGCAGAATAGGCAAGGGAGTTAGCTTTATAAAGTTTGATGAGAATTGTGTCAATACAGAGCTCCTTTGCTAAATATATATGACTTGCATAATGAAATACTAAAATCCTCTACTAACTTCTTTTAGATATCATACTCTACAGATGTCCCTCATTTTAAAATTCAGATGTTCTCTGGAGGTCTAACATATTCAGTTCCTTAAAAAGAAATATTATTTTTCTTTATTAACCAGACGTGCTGCTCCTTTGCCTGTGAAGTCCTGAGTACTGAAAGAGGTTCAAGTAATACGGAAAAATGATGTTATTTTAAAAGGCAAACTTCCTCTTCTGTCTACTTTTCCATTTTGTCATGGGCCATCTATGACATCACTTATAAAGGAAATACAAGAAGTAATATTTCTGCACTTTGAGTTTTAGTGAGTAAATAAAAAATTGTACACATTCAAATCCTATACAGTACAAGCATTTATTAGTGTTATACTCCTATATTCTTGTTTCTGCTTGTGCCTGGGTGCAGAAGAAATTGCAAAACATTGGGAGTGATGTCTTATTTATGTACTATCCTCTGGAGCATCATCAATGTCTGCTAGAATGACTTATCACAACTGGTCTGTGGTGCCACCCTCTGTCCCTACCTTAACTACTTTGTTGCAACTGAGCTTGTCCTAAATTTTGGACATATGCTAACTTTGACTGCTGACATTTCTGGAATGTGCAGTGGCCTGTATTCATAAGAATCACAGACTTTGAACCTTCCTTGTCATAAGCCCGGGCCTATTTTGGCCATCAGTTCTCTCAACACTCTTACACCTTCCCATTAGGTAGGGCATGCAGAAATTTCTGGTTCTACTCCATGGCCCATTGGGACAATGTGAAACAGAGAAATAAATCATCTTAGATACTCTATTTACCAGAACATAAAATATATTCAACTGTACTCCATTGAACTATCTCATGTTGGCATGTAACATACTGTAATGATGTCTTCCTCCAGAGTTCCAAATAATAAGTGATACAGAAACACATTTTGTTTGTTTGTTTTCCTCACTTACACTCTCAATCTTATAATTCTATCTATCCATATGCCCAGTGCCCAGGGGGCCTAATACTGCCTCCTTTAAATATTTCCGTCATCATCTCATGTCCATGTAGTATTCTTTTTGCCTCCCTTCATTGTGGACACTGCCCTTGAATGATACCTTGTGTTTTCAAATATATAAGAGAGAAGGGAGAGTACAGTAGGAGCTGAAAATAGAGAGTTCTGAAGTAATACCTTTTAACTTGCTATTAGGACTCTTAACTTTACTTTGTGTGGAATAAAAAGCATTGGAAAGTTTTGAGCAGTGGAGAGGTATGACAAAACATTTTAGAAGAATCAGTATGGCTGCCACACTGAGAATAGATCATAGCGTGGTGGTGGCCAAAACAGAGACTAATTAGAGGCTATTGCCATAACACAGGTGACAGATACTGGCTTGGAGCAAAGCTGTAGCAGTTGAAGGGGTGAAAAGTGTCGAGTTTTAGATGATTTTTTTTTCGTGGAAGAGATGACAGTGTTTTCTTGTGGGCTGGAAGTAGGGCTTAAGAGAAAGGCTTTAAGAATAATTAAAAAGAGACTGCTGACTGCTTGCCATTTTCTTTCTTAATAACAAATTATCCTTATTATTGGAGGTGGGAATATTTTCAAGTTATAAAAGAAGGAAGAGAAGGAGGAGGGGAAGAAGGAAGAGGAGAAAGAGAATTCATTTCTCAGCTTCTCTTTCAAATGAAAGTAGCCAAGAAAATGCAATGATAAAATTGCCTGGTGGAGCTTTTGGGAATGCACTTTAAAATGAGTTGCTTAGCTAGAATGTTTACTTTATTGTACTCATCTTTTCTTTTTAAAAATTTTTTTGTTTTTAAAATTTTGTGTAGGTACATAGTAGAGGTCCATCTTCATGGTGTACATGAGATACTCTGATACAGGCATGCAACGTGAAATATGCACATTATATAGCATGTACTCATCTTTTGTTCCTTTCTGCTATCTGGAATATGGACTAAAATACCAAGATGTTTGCAAATGATGCATTTTAAGCCCTAAACTGGTAACAGTGGTTGTCTATATCTAAAATATTTGTCAAATAGGAAAAAATCATTCTTGTGTTTAAACCACTGTAATCAGGTCTCCATTACTTGTATTTTAGCTTAAATTCTAAGTAAAACAAATGAATTCAAGATTTTTGTTCTTAGCAGATCTAATGATGGCACTGCCATTTACTGAGAAGGAGAAAGCAGTTGGGAGGAGCAGATTTTGAGGGAAAACCAGGAGCTCAGTTTTGCATGCGTTAAGTTTTTGATGCCCATTAGATATCTATGTACAAATTTTTAGTAGGTATCTGGCCATATGAGTCTGGATATCATGGAGTCTTAGAAATAATTATGTGAAATGCCTGATACCTGTGAGTGATGTCTAAAGCCAGTACAAACTTTATAATTTCCCAAATGCTATTGATATATTTAAAACAGTTTATTTCAAATCGTCTTTATTTTTTGTATAATCAGAAAAATATTAGTTCATAATTAATGTATAAAAATGGGTAAATATCCTTTCTGCTTTGTTTTCTTTTACCACAATGGCATCACAATGAAGATTTACTAAATTAAATAAAGTTGATTTCAGCTAACATCTTCAAATCTTTGTAATATCCTGGATGCCAATGTATTTAAGTCAACTTGGACAAAACTATATTCAGTATAATAAATAAAATACTAATAAGATCACTAATTCTATTATGTAATTACAATTTATTTGTGACAATGTTCATTAGTACCAAAATAGTTATATATGTAAACACACACACACACACACACATATATGTATATACATATTTGTTTTTGTATTTAAAAATACGTGAGCAATAAAGAACAAAAATATTAATAGTTCTATCAAAACACTAAGAGAAAATATTTCTATATTCATGACCGTTGATTAACATGACTAGCTAATCCATACATGCTTGAGATTTAGGAATATATCAAAAAAACAAATAGTAATAAATATGAAAATTATTACCCATTGAAGCCATCCAACCTAAGCAGCAATCTTAGTACTGGCTGATCCTGCATTGTTACAGAAGTATGGGTGATTATATTTCCAAAGATTCTTTTCCTATAAAAACCTTGTTCTGCACAAGCAGAATATCAAAATTTCTATTCACATTTTACCACTATAGTTGTATTTTTTTTACTCACACTGTAGTTACTTAGAGGAAAATTAGTACCATAAACTTATACTTTTATTATCTTATGGCATTCTCCTCATTTTTGATCCTGCATTTATGAGCTTACATTCAGCCAGGAGCTTATTATTATCCATTTATAAGCAGCCAATAAAATAGTAAATTATACATTTGAAAGCCGGGCTTACTGAGATTTTTAAAAGTTCACTGCATTTATTTTCTTTTCTGTAGTAGAAATGTGCTACAACCACTCAAGGTCTGCAAACAGATTCCTATTTAGATGTTGTTGAGAGGTAAGTACAACTAGTTCTCATTAATATTTCATGTCCTATGTGCCATACTTACACTGCCATTTTGTAGTCATTTGTCCTACAGCTAAAGATTAATTTATAATCAGATACGTGAAATCTGATATGTGCATTAAGCTTGATTATACCTGACTGTGTCTTCACGAAGATAATTGTAAATGACATATTAATTAATTTGCAAGTGTGTTCGGTTTACATTACATATAGTATCACAGACAACATTACACATATGATAATTTGCCATTAGTCCTAAATATTAATAATATGATTTCTCAATGAGTCTGAAACATTTTCAAGATACTAGAAATTTGTGACAGATGCCTTTTACATCTGTGAGAATCCAGAATATTATTCTTTAAAATGCATTTTCTCATAAATAGCTCATTAACTTTCTCATTGTTCTCAGTTGTAAATCTGTAAAAAGCAATTTTGTTCCCTTGTCTGTAATAAGAAATCTTTTGCACTCATTAAGATAATTAAAGCATTACTAGTGTGCATGCTCACTATATTCAAAACATTTTCTACTTGATATGAGTTGTCATGGCATTATCAAGACCGGAGGGGGCGGAAAGAAAAAAATAAAATAGCGTCAGCCTATGGTTATGCTCTTTGAATTTGAATATGATTAAGTGCATCTTTAATTTGTTTCTGAGTCATAGTTTAAAATAAAAACTGGAGAGCATTTTGTAGGAGCAATACTGCCCTTTTGTTCAATTTCCTTCTTTTAATTCAACAGAACACTTAATAAAATCATACATTTTAGAAAGTTTTGGAAATTTTTTTGGTCTTTTTATTACAGTTAGGTAGGGGTTTTATTTCCTCATGTGTTTGCTTTATTTTGCTTGGGTAAAGAAATGTTTTCAAATTTAGTTTATGTCTTTACATTATACATGTAGTCCAGGATGTTAGCTGGTAACAAAATTATCAAAGCAAAATAGGTGTTTATGCTATGGGTTCCTTGATCTCCTACTCTTAGGCTTTTTGAGACACATTCACTTTTACCATTTTGATCTTTTAAATTTCTTTTTATTTTTAATTTTTGTGGGCACATAGTAGGGCATATATTTACGAGGCACATGAGTGATTTTGATACTGGCATACAATGCATTATAATCACATCAGGTTAAATGGAGTATCCATCACCTCAAGCATTTATCATTTCTTTGTATTACAATCTAATTCTACACTTCTAGTTATTTTTCAATGTATAATAAATTAGCATTGACTATAGTCACCCTGATGTGCTATGACATACTAGATCTTATTCATTCTATCCAACTATTTTTTGCACCCATTAGCCATAGTCACTCTGCCCCAATCTTCCCACTACCCTTCCCAGTCTCTGGTACCCATCCTTCTACTCTTTATCTCTATGAGTTTAATGGTTTTAATTTTTAGCTCCCACAGATAAATGAGAACATGCAAAGTTTTTCTTGCTGACCTGGCTTATTCACTTAACCTAATGACCTCCAGTTCCATCTATGTTGCAAATGACAGGATATCATTCTTCACATTTCATTCACAAATGGTATGACAAGCTGTAGTAGACAGAAATTATTTTTTGGTTTAATCTCACATGCCCCTTTTATCTTTATGGGGAACTAAACTATTTTTCTGGGAACTACTCCTTTCCCCACCTTAATCCCTATAGGTGTTTTGTTTTGTTTTGCTACAACTCTTATTATGTTATCTTACTTATTTTATGCCTGTTGCTCCATCCAGGTGTGGGCAGTTTATCTTATTGAGCGAATCATTTCTTCAATGAACACTTTATTAATTATACAGAAAAGTATGAGTGATTCCAACTTAAGAAGTTTTAAATTGTGGTGATGTCAGCTCTATTAATAGGCTAATAAAAACTTTTAAGATTAGGCCTGGTCATGGGAATACGTTTTCAGGAATCGTTTCATGAAAAAACACACAAAAATGTTTTACTTATGGTTCTGTATTCCTCAAAATTCTCCAGAGACACAGAATAAAAAGATAAATAGATATAAAGATAGATAGGTGATAGATGGATAGATAGATAGATAGATAGATGATAGATAGATAGATAGGAAAATAAATATATGTGAGGGGTTTATTAGGGGAATTGGCTCAAATTATTATGGAAGCTGAGATGTCCCACACTAGATCATCTGTAAGCTGAAGAACCAGAGAAACTACTAGCATGCTCAGTCCCATTTGGAAGGTCTAAGAACCGAGAAAGCCAACGATGGAAGTCTCAATCTGAGTCCAATGGCAGGAGAGCCCCAGTAGACTGCAAGTGCAATTCCCAGAGTCAAATGGCAGAACAACCTAGAGTTTTGATGCTCAAGGGCAGCAGAAGGGTGTGCTACTCCAAAAGAGAGAAAGATATAATTGACCCTTCTACCCTTTTTTGTTTAATAAGAGCCCTTAGCCAATTGGATGGTGTTTGCCCATGTTGAGGGTGGAATTTCCCCACTTAGTTGACTGGCTCACATACCAGTTCTTCTCCAAAAACACCCTTACAGACAAATACAGAAACAATGTTTTATTAGTCATCTAGGCATCCTTCAATCCAGTCAACAACTAAAATTTACTATCACAGGTGTCCACTGGTTTTTCTCTTCTATTTTCAATGACTCTTGATTGTGAGTTACAGAAAATGAAATTAAGCACAAATCAAAGTGTACTGGAAGAATCCCAGGGACCTTATAAAATAATAAAAATATGGAAGGAGAAAAAAACAAAGGATGGCCAGTGATTTGATTATCACCAGAGTTTTTTTATACCTTGTCTTTCTTTCTAAATGTCCAATGTTTTATTTCATTTTGTATTTTAAATTGTGTTTATTTTTAATTTTTGTGAATACATAGTAGGTATATATATTTATGGGTCACATGGGATATTTTGATACAGGCATGCAATGCATAATAATCACATCAGGGTAAATGGGGTTTCCTTCGACTCAAGCATTTATCCTTTGTGCTACAAACAATGCAATTATATTAGGGAGCTAAACATTAAAATAATTGGACTCATGTTCAGTATTTTTGTCTCTCTCCCCTCAGAATGACTGTCTATCTTGAGAAAAAAAAAAAAACATGCTTAAACCGTATACCATATCTTGTTTTTGTAGACATCCAGAGAGATAGGCTCTTAAAGATACACAAACCCTACTTTTAAAATATTAGAGAAGAATTGAAGGAAAGATTGACCACCTGTTGTAGGGGAGAAAAAAGTGATATGTTTTCCTCTCCCATCACAAGGGTGTTCATAGCCAACACCCCTATAACAAAAGACAGATTAACAAGAGAAAATCATCATTTATTTATTTAACCAAAGTTTTATGTGACATGAGAGCCTTCATAAATCAATGCAAACCAAAAAACCTAGAGAAAATGGTGTATTTTTATGCTGAGTATGAAGAAAAAAGTCGATAGTTGTGAAAAAACATGATTAGGAAAAAAAGAGTATAATCTAATGATATTATATAAACTGAGATAAACTTCAGCAAGGACTGTTTGTTCAGATTATTTCCTGCATCTCTGTATGATATTTCTTCCCCTAGAGTATGGAGCAGGACCCCTGTTCCATGAGGATCATTAGGGGAGAAGCGAGATCAGAGAGTCACAACCAAGGTGTCATTTTTTCAATGTAGTACTTTCTAAGCCTTGACACAGTCATGAGTGTGATCTTTCAGAATTATGTGGCAAATCAAGCAATTGGCAAGCTTTTAATGAAAACTAAAGGAGCTTTGAGGATATAAAAAAGATATAAATAAAAACAAGTTATAGAATTTATCAAAAATGATTTCAGAGGAAAATATGATAGTGGTCCTGCTTATCTGTGGGGCATAGGTTCCAAAATACCTAGTGGATGCCTGAAACTACTGTTAATACTGAACCCTATATGTAGTATGTTTTTTCCTGTGCACACATCTATGATGATATTTAATTTATAAATTAGACGCCATAAGATATTAACACTAACTGATAAAATAGAAGTCATAATAATATAATACACTGTAATTAAAGTTATGTGAATGTAGTTCTCTCTCTCTCTTTCTCTCTCTCTCAAAATATCTTATTTCTCTGAAAATATCTTATTGTATGTAATATGTTCACACTGCAGTTGATGGTGGGTAACTGAAACCCCAGAAAATGAAAACAAGGGTAATGGAAGACTACTGTACCTTAGAGATAGATTAGTGTTAAATATGTGCCAACATAGAAAACTGTCTCATTTACACAAATTCAATATAGTATTTTCTCTTAAAGCAAAAGGAGCTAATAATATTTTCTGTAGTGACTACTACTTCTTAATAGTGTAGCTTCTTTTTTTTGATAACCATTTTTCTTAGAGCTATTTGAAGACACTATTCAAGTAGTATAACAAAGCAAAAAGCAAATGTGTATGCTCTGTTAAAAGACAATGAAAGTTATACAGAAGAGCTCCTTTTATAACAAATAATTTTGCATAACATAACTACTCTTAAAGCAATACTAATCATACAAAACTTCTATTATTGATTTATAAGCATGACAAATAGCCATTATACTTTTTGGTGTTTTTGCTATCTTCTTTTGGATTTTATTTTCTGTTCATGTTTTGTAAGGTATGTTTTCTGTCATTTTAATTACTTTTAACAAAATCACATCCGGGTGCACTTTTTATTAAATAAGCATTTAGTTCTGGTCTCTGCCTCAAAGAGCCGAAGTTGAGTTGTAATATTTGCTTTAATGTTCAAGTTTTTACCTTGTAGGATAGTGATGAGTTCTGGGTTTGTGTAGTAGACAGAATAATGCTCTCAAAAGATGCCCACAATCTAATCCCCAAAACCTGTGAATATGTCACCTAGCATGGCAAAAGAGACTTTTGTACATTATATGTTATTTTCATGTCTTTAAGTGTAATTAGCTAAAATATTGTTTAGTTTTCCACTGTTTGTCTTTACCAATGATCAGTTTAACAGTTTTTCTATTATGGAGATTTAGATTGACATCAACATTTGCTATTAATCATTTATTATTTCTTCCTTTCTGAAAGCTGAATTTCTGGAACAAGAGATATAGATTAAGACTGTTGTTACATGTTGCCTACATGACTTTCAAAAGCTTGATTCCCAGTGGCGCTCTCAACAGCAGTCATAAACAATGGTAATTCAATGTATATTTATATTCAACTGATATATTAATTGGAATATATTAAAAATACGTATATTTATATTCAGAATATTTATATTGAAAATATGAATATGGTGTGTGTGTGTGTGTGTGTGTGTGTGTGTGTGTGTATCCCATTATTTCCCTAACACTAGATCAGGGCTTTTTAACTATGGTGATTTTACACACCCCTATTCTCCAGAAGACGTGTTATTTATGGAGACATATTCAATGGTCAAAACTGCGTGGATGATGTTAGTAGGCAGATGCCATGGATGCTGTGAAAGGTCCTACAATGCATAGGTCAGCCCCCCACCACAAATAATTATCTAACTCAAAATGCCAATAATCTCCAGATTTAGAAACCCTATTCTTCCTAATGAATAGTCATATTTTACCATCTTTAAAAATTGAGAGCCATGTGACAGAATTATTTTGGCATTCCCTTTCTCAGAAGAATGTTAAACATATTTTGCTCACTCTTTCTGAGTGATTTCACCACAGACACTACTTGCATCTGTTCCCACTTAACTTTTTAGCATCAAACCAAATATAGCATTTCAAAAACTAGTTACTTTTTCTGAATTAAATAAAATAAAAACATGATTTAAGCTGTGCCTTCAGATTTAAAATAACAGAATGCCTTTTCACATTGACCATAGTATATATGTACATAATACTTTCAAATATCTTTAAAATTTTCAGAGGTTACTTTTCTGGTAGAAAGTTTTATCTTTATATATGGCTGTGTGTGTGTCTGTCTGTGTGTTTGTGTGTGGTATATGATATATGTATGTGTGTGTGTTGATATGTATGTGACACATAAAATCATATGTAGCTTTTAACCATTTAAAAGGATCATAAAACCTACAACCATTTAACAATCATACTATTTTTTTAAAAATAGATGATTATTCATAGTCTTGAAACATTTCATTTGCTTTCATGAATCTCATTCCCTTCAACAACCCTGGAAAGAGCAACTTTCCTGGAATCAGCATATATAACATTCTTGATTTTCTTATTAGTTTACTCAACAATATCTGCAAGATACATTCATCCATATTCTTGATATATATGTAGGTTATTTATTTTCACTGCTCTGCAGTTCTCTACCATATGAAAATAGCACAATTATATCGATGTATCCCCTGGCTAGTGGTTATTTTGGTTGCTTCTATTTTTTTGATGTTACAAATAATGATGCTATGAACATTATGTGCACATTTTCTATTGAACATGGGAGTATCTCTTCAGCAGCAATCTTCAAACTTTTTTCTTTAATACAACTGAAAAAAACTATGTCCACTTCACATATGTTTGGGTTGGTGTCTAAATATTTTTATGTAAAAGAATTGCAAAAATATTTAATTTCTAGCATACTATAAATGTGTCTTAAAAATGTGTTTTCCTCAAACCCTTAAAGCTATAGCTTTATCTCATACAATTTGGGAAAATGTCTACTATATACTCTAATTGGCAAAACAGTTCCCACTCTGAGAATCAAAAATTACTTGCATTACCAATAAGAATAATTTCACTTTTGAACTCCAATAAAGCTTAAGATGCCCATTAAACATCTCATTTTTAAAGATTCCTGGGTAGATACAGTATGCAGATATATAAATGATTGATAGAGTGATTGATTGAAACAGACAAAAATTTTTGATAGTAGTTTTGTACTTAGGTGAAATAAAGGCAATATTTTTTACACATCTTTTTAGTTTGCTTTCACAATAAAAATCTTCCTCAGAAACTTTGTATGCTCATACTGTTTCCTTGTAGGATGCTCTACAGATTGGTACACTCTAATGTACTATTGTAATGTTCCAGATAGGAGAAATGGCTACCTTTATTTTGTTAAACTGGAGATTGGCAGCTATGACTGAGGACTTGCAAAAGCGGAAACAGGGACTTCTCAGTGAGGTCAATATTTGGAGGAAATATGTATAGAAACTGAAGATCTGTCTGAGTTTACCCCTGAGGTACATTATAGCATACATGAGTTTGAATATTTATTCTTTAATGTACATATTTGGTTATGGAGTTGTTTAAGCATCAGCTGTTTGGAAATTCTGCTTTGCCAAGATATTTCTAACTTGCTTTTTAGAACAGTTGTAACATTTTACATTTCCATAGCTCCCTTGGCTTCACATGATTGAGTAATACTTTAAATCAGATTGTAAATGTATTACGCAGTGGTTTTAATTTCCTGATTAGTAATGAGATTGTAACTGAACTCAGGTTCAGTTGTTTGCCAATTGAAAGCCAAAACTTGAGAGGCAAGCGTTGGTGGAAGAGAAAAGCAGGTTTATTCAGGACCTGACAATCCAAGGAGATGGTGGACTTGCATAGCAAAGACCATCTCAAGTTTCTCAGCCTGGACATAGGGGTTTTAAAGGGGAAAGGGCTTGGGAAACTATGTGCAGGAGTTAGCTATGCATTTCAGAATGTCTTTTTCCAACGACTGTCATGAGGAATGGGCATCAAGAGGTGTAGCTGGCATCATCCAACCTCTAATAAGATTGAAGATTAACTGCTCAGTATTTTTTTTCCATTAAGAACATTTCACAGCCTTGGTTTTATCTTGGGGTTAGTTCTTGGAATTCTTAAGCAAGCACACAATTAGGTATCGTAAAAGAAAGAATAGTTATTTGTTTCCAAAATGGAATGACTGCATCAGTTACAAGATGATCACCTTTATATGTTATTGCTATTCAGATTTTCTCTTCCATAAAATACTTGTTTGCATCTTTTGCCTGCAGTTTAATTGGGTGGTTTGACATTTTGGTTTATATGAATTTCTTAATATGTTATGGACATTAATCCTACACTGGTTTTTTATGTTGCAAAGATCTGCTCTCAGCGTGAAAATTCTTTTTATGGCGTCTTTTGATGATGAAAAGTCCACAATTCAAAATAGATTAACTTATCAATACTTACTAGTTTCTTTTACTTAAGTATGTTATTTCTCTTAAAAATTATCTATATATCAGAAAAATACCTCCATTTATATTCCTGAAAAAATTATTTAAATTTGCCTTTCATATTTAAGTCTCTGATATACTGGAAATTAACTTTTGCATATGTCATGACGGATACACTATTTTGCTTGCTTTATAGTTTCCGGATAAATACTTATCTCAGGGCCACTGACTGACTAGTCTATACTTTTACCTCTATACAATATCTGGTGTTCATATTTTTGCAGGTCTATTTCTTGACTCTCTAACGTGTTTTTAGCTTTCAATCCTTGCACTCACACCATGCAGTGTTAATTGCAATTGTTTGATAGTAAATTTTAATCACTGCTATAGCAAATTTTCGTATCTTATTTCTTCTGGGTTATACTTGGCTCTTTGGCCTTTGGTTCCTTGACTGTACTTCCATTTAAAATTTCAGGATTGACTTCAGTTAAAAATAATCTGTAAGAATTGTTCAAATTTAAGCTTGAATTACCAGAAATATTTCACTTTTTGCATTAAATGCATCTCATGATTATTGATATGTAATATTATTTTATTTTCTTCAATTCTAAAGATCACTTATTCCCCACTGGGATTTTTTATTTAGCATTAATTTATGTAGAAAAGTGTTTTTAAAATTCCAAGCTTATGATATTGTGAGTTATCTTTGTATTATTTAAAAATTAATAACATTGCAGTTAGATATTATTATGTGTATGAAATTAATATTGGAAAACCACTGAGAATTGCTCTATTTCCTATTATATTGTTGATTTTCATGAATGTTTCCTGTTTCTTGAAACTGTATATTCGTCAGTTCTTTGGTATAGTGTTCTATATATACTCATTTGATCATTCTTACTATATGTTACCCAAATATTCTTAATCACAATTTTTACCTGTTTCACCCATCAATTACTGAAAGATATGTTTTTAAATCCTCACTGATGTAGTAACTTTCAGCATATTTTGCACATATACAGATGCTCCTTGATTTATGATAGATTTATGCCCTGATAAACTCATAATAACTCAAAAATTTTGGAAATCACAATGCATTTAATACCCCAGTAAACACATTGTTAGTAAAAAAAAATATTAAGTTGAACTATCATAAGTTCAGCTGTTCCTTGACTTACAATGAGGTCACACCCCAATAAACCCATCACAAATGCAAAAAATCATAAGTTGAACCATAGTTAAGTAGAGGTCATCTGTATATATTTATAACTATATATCAATATAAACATAGATATAAGTATGTGTGTACATGCATGAATGTATATCATACAGATCTGTCAGGTTAGAACTATTATATTAATATCTTCCTGACAAATTGAACCCCATCATCTCTTGTTCACTGGGCCTTGAAATTTATTTTATCTGATTTTAATATAACCAAAGTAGCTCTTTTTTAATTAGTATTTGCCTGCCATATTATTTTGTATTATTTTACTGTAACAATTCCTGTTTTCTTGTGGTTTTGGTAAAACCTCTGAACACTGCATATAGATTTAAAATAATTCTGTAGATCTACTGGCATCATTTTTGTAGATATATGTTAACTTGTTTCTAATTCCAATTTTTTCAATTTTCCTCTTTTTAAAATTTCAGCTTTCATTGAGGAGTATAACACATGTATAGGAAATTGCACAAAATTTATATATATTCTTTTAGGGATAACTTTAAAAGATAAATCTGTGAAACCAGAATCTAGGACAATATATTTTTTTTTTTACGTGAAACCCAGTGAACCACAGTTATTTTATTAGTTGGGTATTTTTTTATGGCCCAGGGTTGCACAAAATTACAAAACAATTTATTTGCTACCCCACCAAATATAAAATAATGGGGCTGGAACAAAATCATGACAATAAAAATTTCCCATTCAGAATAAAGGAGAATGAAAGATTCATAGCAATTATGCAATGCTGCTGGATAGGCAATTTGAAGGCCCTTTTCCTTGGCGGTGGGGTAATTTCTTTGTTTAGACTGATTCTTCTTTTAAGAAAAACTATATTTTATGGTACTCACCAGGATTCCAGCTCTACGCTCAGCATAATTCTTTCTCATTTATTATCTTTTGTGGCCTCATCATAGGAAAAATGTACATATATTAAGATTTTAAATAAATGAATAATTCTAGATGTGGAAAGGTTATCATTATAATTAGTTATAACTATAATATTATAATAATACAAAGATCTGAATGAATGGCTTCTCCCAGATAATATTGTATTGAAAGTATATATATACCTTTTAAAAAATGAACATAATTAAGTTGCTCTAATGGAAGAAAAATCACACCTCGTTTTGCACCATGTACATCAATTGACGTTTGATAATAAAGTGCAGATTTTCACACACAGCACACAGCAACACCTTGGTCACCTTATCATTCCATCCAATCTGTGATATTAAGATTGTATATGATCTCTTAAGATTTATTCAGCTCATTATATATTCCCCCTGAAAGAAAGTGGGGATGGTAGACTCTCCCATTCATTTCTCTTAATTTTTGCACAGAATGCCCTTCATTGTGATACATACATTGCACTATCCTCCTAGATCATTACATGTGAGATGCAAAAGTTCCTTTTACCCAAATTTCAGTCATTTATAATTTTTAAATTTATTAGTTAAAAGTATAATAGTTATTTCTACTTTTTAGTAGCATTTGAAGATAAGAGACAAATACCTTACCCAGAATTATCTGGATGATTCAGTTAAATTTGTTAACTTTATTATGTGATAGGCCATTGAATTTTCCTGCACTGTAATATGAATTGTGTAGATAAAAACATTTACTCAAATGCAGCTCTAGCCTCACTTATATTTTCTATTCTATTTTATATTTTAAAAAACTAAATGTAATTTCCATAAGAGCTGTATGGAAACACAGCTGCCAGAGAGCATGGCATAATGTGGACAAGTGACACTGGGAGGGAACAGTCAGAAATTAGGTCAGTTTTCCAGTCCAAAAGCTTTGCTGGGGAGAATGAAAATGGGAAACAGAAAAAAGCAGGGGTTGCAATCCTAATTTCAGATAAAACAGACTGTAAACCCACAAAGATCAAAAAAGACAAAGGAGAGTCTTACATAGCACTAAAGGGCTCAATTCAACAAGAAGGCCTAACTATCCTAAATATATATGCACCCAAAACAGTGGCGCCCAGATTCATAAAGCAAGTTCTTAGAGACCTACAAACTTAGACTACGACACAATAATAGTGAGAGACTTCAACATTCTACTGATAGTATTACACAGATCATAGAAGCAAAAAATTAACAAAGATATTCAAGACCTAAACTCAACAATGGACAAAATGGATCTGATAGACCTTTACAGAACTCTCTAGCCGAAACCAGGATATACATTCTTCTCATTGCCACGTGGCACATACTCAAAAATTGACCACATAATTGGGCATAAAACAATATTCAGCAAATGCAAAATAACTGAAATTATACCAAACAGACTCTTGGATCACAGTGCAATAAAAATAGAAGTCAAGCCTGAAAAAAAAATCACTAAAAACTACCCAATTACATGGAAATTAAACAACATGCTCCTAAATGACTTTTGGATAAATAATGAAATTAAAGGAGAAACCAAGAAGTTCTTTGAAACTAACGCAAAGGTACAACATACCAGAATCCCTGGGACCCCGCTAAGCAGTGTTAAGAAGGAAGTTTATGACACTAAATGCCCACATCAAAAAGTTAGAAAGATATCAGATGAGCAACCGAGCATCACCATTTGAGGAACTAGAGAAATGAGAGCAAACCAACCCCAAAGCTAACAGAAGACCAGAAATTCTCAAAATCAGAGCTGAACTGAAGAAAATTAAGACACAAAAACCACACCAACAAATCAACGAATCTAGGAGTTGGTTCTTTGAAAGAATTAATAAAATAGGCTGCTAGCTAGACTAATAAATAAATAGAGAAATATTAAAACAAATGCAGTCAGAAATGACAAAGGGGACATTATCACTGACCCCACAGAAATACAAAACAAAAACAAAAACAAAAACAAACCCAAAAAACCCTGACACTACTGTGAACACCTCTATGCACACAAACTAGAAAACTTAGAAGAAATGGATAAATTCCTGGAACCCTACGACTTCTCAAGATTGAAGCAGGAAATAATTGAATCCCTGAGCAAATCAATAATTATTTCCAAAATTGAATCAGTAGTAAAAAGCCTATCAACAAGAAAATGCTCAGGACCAGATGGATTCACAGCATAATTCTACAAGATGTGTATATCTGTGTGTGTGTGTGTGTGTGTGTGTATGTAAATAAACTGGTACCATTTCTACTAAAACTATTCCAAAAAATTGAGAACGACATACTCCTCCCTAACTCATTCTTTGAGACCAGCATCATCCTGATACCAAAACCTGGTAGAGACACGGCAAAAAAAGAAAACTTCAGGCAAATATCCTTGATGAACATTGATGCAAAAATCCTCGGCAGAATACTAGCAAACCAAATCCAGCAGCACATAAAAAAGCTAATCCACCATAATCAAGTAAGCTTTATCCCTAGGATGCATGGTTTGTTCAACATATGCAAATCAATAAATGATATTCACCACATAAGCAGTACTAAAAAAACAAAAATCACATGATTATCTCCACAGATGCAGTAAAGACTTTTGACAAAATTTAACGTCTCTTCATGTTAACAACCCTCAACAAACTGGGCATTGAAGAAACATACTCTAAAATAATAAGAACCGTCTATGACAAGCCTATAGCAAACATCGTACTGAATGGGCAAAGGCTAGAAGCACTCCCCATGAAAACCGGAACAAGACGAGGATGCCCAATCTCACCACTCCTATTTACCATAATACTGGATGTCCAGGTCAGAGCATTCAGGCAAGAGAAAGAAAGAAAAGCCATCCAAATAGGAAGAGAAAAAGTCGTACTATCCCTTTTTACCAATGATATAATTCTATACCTTGAAAGTCCCATAGTCTCTGCCCAAGAACTCCTTGATCTGATAAACAACTTCATCAAAGTGTCAGGATGCAAAATCAATGTGCAAAAATCAGTAGCATTCCTATACAACAATAACATGCAAGTTTCTAAGCTTACATGGTTCTAGCCATGCCTCTTATTGTTAAAATAATGACTATCCAAAATTTTGTATATATTCTCACTTTATAGATGAATCTGTGGACCTTATTTTGGAAAATTTACTTCAGCTTACCATTTTAAAATTGTATACAATTTTATGATTTGTGGTTTTAATTGTGCTTCTAACATTTATCTAGATTGATGCATGAGCCCCATTAATATTACTGTGGTAGTAAAATTCATTGTGTGCACGTACTACAATGTATTTATGTATTCTCTGATTGATCATCATTTGGGTTGTTTTCAGGTTTTGATTGTTATACAAATGGTCTCCTGACCATTTGTGTACACGTCACTTGCAAACAGACACACGTTTTTGAGATATGCACCTGAGAGTAAGATTCCTCAATTTTAAGCTTTACAAGATAATTCCAATTTGTTTGCTAAGTTGTTTGTACAAGTTACATTTTTATGAAGAGTCTATAGCAGTTTCCTTTAATCTATACGTGTCAAGGTGTGTACCTGACATCTTAAAACTTATAATTTTTATGGCTGACTTTTGAACATGCTAAAATATTTCTTTGTAGATTTGATTTACATTTCTCTAATTAGTAGTAGTTCCAGCATTATTTCAGGTATATATTGACACCTTTTTTTCCTATTTTATGTAACTCCTTTTCCTGTTTTTGTTATTTTTTCCAAAAATTATGTATGTTGTCCCTTTCTTTTTGATTTTCAGGTATTATATAATTTATAGGGATGACTTTTTAAGTGATAAATATTGCAAATATTTTCACCCGCTTTGTGAATTGTCATTTTTGTCTCCTTTTATGGTGTTTATAATAAAAATAATTATTTAATGTAATATAGTCAGTTGCAGCATTTTCTTATGGGTCTAGCTCATGAAATCCATCTCTACTCCCAAAAGCATAAAGATATCTCTATATTTTCTTCTGAAAGTTCTAAAGTTCTGCCTTTTACTTATTTTGTTTTAACTTTTTTTTTTTTTTTGGGGGGATGTAGTTTCGTTCTTGTCGCCCAGGCTGGAGTGTCATTTTAACTTTTAAAACATCCTGTTCTGTTTCATTGGTAAGTACATTTTTTCAAAAGTTTAATTATGCTTCAATAGTTGTGAAGACAGATATACATTTAAAACATAAAAATCAGAACCTCAACAGAAACCCAGAGGTGAGCAGAGTAGGTAGGTCAGGTGTGATGTATATGGCAAATAGAACATCAATGCTGCTTTGGGGGCATGGGGGAATATATACAGTATTGTATTCAGTGTTCTACATGATCAGTGCCAGATTACTGGTTTGTTTTTGTTTTTGTTTTTATTTTTGAGATGGAGTCTTACCGTGTCACCCAGGCTGGAGTGCAGTGGCACCATCTCTGCTCACTGCAACCTCCACCTCCTGGGTTCAAGCAATTCTCCTGCCTCAGCCTCCCAAGTAGCTGGGATTACAGCTGCACACCACTGTGCCTGGCTAATTTTTGTATTTTTAGTAGAGACGGGGTTTTGCCATGTTGGCCAGGCTGGTCTCAAACTACTGACTTCAAGTGATTCGACCACCTTGGCCTCCCAAAGTGCTGGGATTACAGGTGTGAGCCACCACGCCTGGCCCAGATTACTGTTTATTGGGATCTTCTCCCATGGATGGAGACCACAGTGGTGGAGGTAGAAACCGTTCTGATACCATTGCTATAGGTCCTATGGGTAACTAGTACCTCTTTTAAGCAGCAGGCCTCTGGGGCCTGTGAGTGCTGGATGAACACTTATAAGCTAGTAATGTAATTATGTGATAGAGAGCAAGAGCCACAGAAGCTGGTGGAGAAAAGAGTATACAGCTGGGTGACATGGTAGTAGATATAAATGAAACTTATTTATTACTATTGTGAGTGAATTAACATATACAGTGAAACCCAGGGTGTATATAAATAGGTAGTTTGCTTCAGCGAATTATTGGTAATGAGCCTGTAAAAATGACTTAAAAATTGGCAGAAATGTTTCTGAAGTTGATGATACAATGGCTAAATGATTAAAAGTCACCTATATCTAAATCCATAATATATTCAAAGTTGATTTTTATTAATCTTATAAAATTTGGATTTTGAATGATTTTTCCATAAGGATATCTGAGTGTGTGATAACAATTTATTGAATAATCAGTCCATCTTTTCCTAATGGATCTATCTCTGTGTTACTACTACTCTCTATGTTACATATAAGTAATTGTGATGGTTAATTTTATGTGTCAACTTGATGAGCTATGAGGTGACCAAATGAAATATAATTTCTTGCTGTGGTCATGAGGGTGTTTGAGTGTTAAATTAACATTTTAATTCCTGGAAGGAGGAATTCACTTTTTCATTTTCTTCCTCTCTGCCTACTTAAGCTGGGGCATCTTATCTCATCTTCTAAGGCTCTTGAACTGGGATTCAGTTTCCCTGGTTTTCAGGTCTTTGACTCAGAGTGAATTATGTCATTGGCTTTTCTGGGTCTCCAGATTGCACACAACAGATCATGGAACTTCTCAACCTTCATTATTGCATGAAGAAATTTTCTATAATTGATTTTCTTTTCTTTCTGTCTCTATTTATTATCTATCATCTATCTATATCTATCTATTATCTATCTATCTATCTATTTATCTATCTATCTATCTATCGTTATCATCATTATCAACTAGCTCATACTTGGTTCTGTTTCTCTGGTAAACCCTGACAAATACAATAACTTTATAATGTACTTTGATATATTGAAGGTTGAATTCTCCCACGATATTTTCTTTTTCAACATACAATTGTATATGTTAGAATCACTTCTTTCCATATAGGTTTTAGAATCAGCATGTTGCTATTGTAAGTGATAGTTTTTTTAAATTATACTTTCCAGATCTGTGGCTGTTGTACAGAAATGCAATACGTTTATATGTACTGATTTATGTTCCCAAAATAGTGCTAATAGCTTAACTATTTTTACAGTTTAATGTGTATGTCATTTTGCTTCCTCTCCCACATCAATTTCAGAAATTAATTTCCAAGTGCCCTTCAAATTCTGTTCAAATTTTGTTCGTCATATCACTTATTATAAAAATAAGTGAGAGGAGATTTGACTTATTTTTATGCCTCTCTATTTATATAGATGTTTCTTGTTGATAATGAATAAAACTTTATACTTTTCTAGATCTTTTCAGGGTTATTGTTGCTATCTTAAATAAATATTTAAAGTGAATTTCCTAATTATTGGAGTAGACAATTGCTATTAATTTTTAGATTATGATTTTTTGGTTAAACTTTCTAATTAAATCTAATAGAGCATCTGTAGTTCTATTAGTGTTTCTATTCATACAATAATATCAGATGCATATAATGCATTACTGCTTTTCTTTGCATTTTTCTTGATGTAGTGAACTGGCTGAGCTTTCCAAGATGTGGTTGAACTGAAGTGAAGATAGAGAATTTTCTTCTATTTTTCCTCATTTAAATGAGCACAATTTTATTAGGTTACCATTATGAATGATGATTGCTGTTGATGTCTGAGATCTGATTTGTGATGACCATTAAAACCTTTTAAGTTTTTATTTCAGCCAAGAAATTTTGCTTGTTAATGTTTCCTTGACTGTTGTTCCTTATACTTTAAGTGAACTGACCTTCAATCTTTCTCTGTAACTCTTGATATTATCATACAATTTTTTCATCAAGTCTCTTAAAGCGGTGAATGATGTTTGAAAATTTGCTTATATAAAATCACTCTTTAACCATAACGGTCATGATTTACTATATTTTTAAGGGTTTATTCAATTCTGTTTACTAATATTTTATTCAGAATATTTACTTCTAAATTCATAAGTAACATGGGTCTATATTTTTTAATACTGTAAGTTTCATTTTGGTATTAAGATTTTATTTTTTATAGCATAGTTGAAGAATAATCTAATTTTTCCAATTTCTTTGACTAGTATATATAAAATTGGAATTATTTCTCCCTTCAAATTTTTGTAATAGTGCCCTACCAAATTTTAGATAAGCCACCAAAATTTGGATGATTAGAAGACCCCAATAAACAGGAATCTGGCATTGATCATGAAGATTATTTAGACCTACCAAAAAATCTTCTTTGTGTGAAGATTTTTTTTAAATTAAGCTAAATCAGGTTTCCTACTTGTTAAATCAGTTTTTGATATTTGTCCATATCATCTGAGTTTTCAAATTTACAGATATCAGTATTCTCATACTATGTTTTTATTCTCTTTTAAACCTCTTCTCTATTTGTGGTTATATCTTTTCATTAGTATTAGTATTTCTTTGGAATTCTTACTTTTCTTAACTATTTGTTTAAACATTTTATCAATCTTTTCAAAGAACCAAATTTTTATATGTGTTAGTGTTATATTTTTAATAATTATATTAATATTGTTTTGAATGCAAATACCAGGCTTCTGGATAAGGGCAGGTTTATTATTATTATATACATAATAGTAGCTATGCTAATTTCCCTTTGCCTCAGTGCTTAACCCTAGCATAAAACTATGAGAGACAAATGTCATCATGTGCATATTGGAGTAGGTAAAAAATACCAAAAGTATAAATCTGGGCATTTATATAGAAGAGAGAGTTTCTTGTCATCCCCTAATGAAAGGAGAAAAATACTTTTCTCCTTGAGAAGAATTCTTAGTTTTTACTCTCACACTTTGTAATGTAAATAAGTTTCTCCAGTAGAAAAATGAGACTAGTGTCTTTATAAAATGTCTCCATCTTTATAACCCAAGACATCTCTCTATAATCCAAAGTTTCATTCTCCTTTGAAATCTCAACATATATATTTTCAGAAGGAAACTACTTGTAGGTGGTCTGTCACTATTATCTGTCATAATTTAACTTCTAGACTTGTTGATAAGTTCAGATTCCAAGTTTTAGTACGATTTACTAAAAAAAAACCTAGCATGCAGAAACAAAAATATTTTCTCTACAGCTTCACTTTGAGCTTTTGCTTTATTTTTCATGAATTTCTGCTATATACTTTATTATTTCTTTTATTCTTGTTTACTTGGTTTTATCTGTGTGGTTTTTAAGTTTTTAAGTTAGATACTTACCTTGTTTTTGGACTTTTATATGTATCTATGCATTGAAGCCATAAAATTCCTAAGTTAAGCTTATGCTATATTCCATGGCACTCTTCAATGTAAGTAAATTTTTTGCTGTCTTGTTAAATATTTCAACACTATTTTTAATAAAGTTATATTGCCATGTTCAGAAGAAAAAAAATCGAGAGTCAAACAAAGTTACTTTTCTTTTTATTACAAGTGCTATTAATATACATAAGAAATTACAAGTTATTACAAGTGCTATTAATATACATAAGAAAAATATAACCAACTTCAGCCAGTTTCTGATATGAATTATACAAAGTGACATGATCAAGTGTTAACTACTAGTTTTAAATAGCTATGGCTATTTTGAAATACTTAACGCTTTTCACAATTGAAATACTTATTGATATTTTCGAAGAATCATAGGCAGTTGGAAAAAATAACACAGAGATGGTTTTATAAATCTTGCCCAGTTTCTTCCTGATAACATTGTGCAAAATTATAGTATAATATTGCAAACAGAATTTTGACATTGATAACATTCATTGATCTTATTCAGATTTTCCCAGATTTGCTTGTCCTCATTCGTGTATGTTTTCTTTTTCTTTTCTTTTTTGCTTCTTGAGACAAAGTCTTGCTCTATCACCCAGGCTGGAGTGCAGTGGTGTGTGATTTTGGCTGTCTGCAACCTCCGCCTCCCAGGTTCAAGGGATTCTCCTGCCTCAGCCTCCCAAGTACCTGGATTACAGGCATGTGCCAACAAGCTTGGCTAATTTTTATATTTTTAGTACAGACGGTGTTTTGCCATGTTGGCCAGGCTGGTCTTGAACTACTGGCCTGAAGCAATCCATCCGACTCAGCCTCCCAAAGTGTTGGGATTACAGATGTGAGCCACCATGCCTGGCCTTTGTATGTTTTTGTGCATGCTGACCTGTATACAATTTTGTCACACTTGTAAATTATGTGTTCACGCTACAGTCAAAATGATCAACTGCTCTAACATTACAAGAATCCCTTGCATTGCCCTTTTATAATGACAAACTCATGACTCCCACCCTCCTTTCTGTCTTAATCCTTAGCAACTACCATTCTGTCTCCCATTTTTAAAATGTTATAATTTCAAACATGTTATATAAGCCAGAAAAGTGGCATGAAGAACTCCAAGAATGTCCTTAGAGGAACAATCACAAATAACAAAAATTATTTCAAAATCATCATGCAAAGGGATTGCTGGGTTGAAAGGTAGTTCTGTTTTCAGAGATTTGAGGAATCTCCATGCTGCTTTCCACAATGGTTGAACTAATACCCAGAGGAATATATATATATATAATATATATATATAAAATATATATATTTTTATATAGATATATATTTATATATAGATATATAGAATTATATCTATATATATATTTATATATATAGATATATAGAATTATATCTATATATATATTTATATATAGATATATAGAATTATATCTATATCTATATTTATATATAGATATATAGAATTATATCTATATATATATATTTATATATAGAGAGAGAATTATATATATCTATATATATATATATATATATATATATATATATGTAATTCTACCATAAAGACACATGCACGCAAATGTTCATTGCAGCACTATTCACAATACCAAAGACATGGAGTCAACTAAATGTCCATCAATCACAGATTGGATAAAGAATATGTGGTATATATACACTATGGAATAGTATGCAGTCATAAAAAAGAAGACCATGCCTTTTACCAGAACATGGATGGAGCTGGAGGCTATTATTCTTCACAAACTAACACAGAAACAGACAACCAAATACCACATGTTCTCACTTATAAATTGAAGCTAAATTATGAGAACTCACGAACACGAAAAAGGGAAAAACAGACACTGGGGTATACTTGAGGATGAGGGGTAGGAGAAGGGAGAAGCAGAGAAACAAATAACTATTGGATGCTAGGCTTAATACCTGGATGATAAAATAATCTGTACAACAAATCCCTGTAACAAGAGTTTGCCTATATAATAAACCATTACGTAACTCCAGAACCTCAAATGAAAGTTTTTAAAAAAAGGAAGAAATTGCACATTCCAGGGCCTCCACACCTATGTTAGAGTAGAACTGCCCCACTGCAGAGGTCCAAGGCCTTAGCCTTGCCTTCCTCCTCTCAGCACGGTCTTGCTCGAAAGAATGGCTGACTGAAACCTATATTCAATTTCTTTTATTCATGCATGCATATTATCTGACTTTTGTCTGCACATGTAGGGAACAGAATAGTTGAGAATCAAAACATAAAAATTAAATGAATAAAAATGAAAAGACTAGAGAAAATAAAAATAAGTAAAAACTATCATATAAGGTCTCTGGAAATTGTTCTAACTTTATGCAACAAGTGGAGAAATATTAGTCAAGAAAATATACTAACCTTTGGTAAGAGCAGCAAGGAGTTTGGGACATTTGACCCAGATTGGTATAGCCAAGAAATCAGGGCTTGCCCTGTGCCCTGCCCCAAGTCTAGGGTTATAATATAATATGTACCTCATAGAGGCAGGCTACAAGCATTTCTAATCTGCTCTATTTCATGTGGCAGAAGCTCTATTCTAGGCAAGAATATCTTGAAGGAATGAAGCTCTAGAAACAGCTAAAGAGAGTTCTTCTAAAACTGGTCTCATACCAAGGTAACTGTGCACATAACCAGAACTTCACCACCTGATAAGTGATATTAGACACTCAGGGGAAATAGATTTCGCTGAACTAGTCTACTAGTCAAAGAAATTTAATTGTTTAGATTACTAAACAGACAAATAAATAAACTTTTTGTTTTATTGATATTCTCTATTTTTTGCTATTATCTATTTTATTGATTTTTACTCTATATTATTTTATTCTTTTTGCTGTAATTTGGTTCATCTTACTCTTCATTTTCTAGTTCCTTATAGGGTAAAGTTAGGTAATTCATCTGGGATCTTTCTCTTTTTTAATGTATACATTTACAGTTCTTAATTTTCTTTAAAGTATTGCCTATGGTGCATCACATAAGTTTTGGTGTGCCGTGTTTTATTTTCACTTATCTAAAAGTATTTTCTAATTTTATTTTTTAATTGTTTTCGATTCAATAGTTATTCAAGAGTGGGTTGTTTTATTTTCGTGTGTTTGTGAAATCTCTAATTATTGTTATGTTGTTCACTTCTAATTTCAATCGATTGTGATCAGGTAAACTACTTTGTATGTTACAATCTTTTAAAATTTACTGAGCATTGTTTTGTGTCAGCAGATGGTATCTCCGTGACTAAGATTCATGTGCACTTGGGAAAATGTGTTTTCTGCTGATTTTGCATGAAGTATTCTCTGTAGGTCAGACAGGTCTTGGTTTATGGTTTTTCAAGTCCTCAGTTTCTTCGCTGATCTTCTTCTATCTTACTGTATTTATTTCTGAAAGTAGACTATGGAAGCCTTTAACTAATATTGTATTTAAAGATATCATCTTTGATATTTTTTCCCAAAATTGACCACATCTTTTTTAAGATTCTGTTGTGTGTGTATATATGTTTTATAATTATTATAAATGTTTAATGAATTGATACTTTTATTATTATATTGCATCCTTCTTTGTCTCATGTAAAGATGTTAAAGTTGATTTTGCCTGGTATGAGTATAACTACCTTAGCTCTCATCTGATTAATATTTGCATGGAGTATATATTTCCATTCTTTCAGCGCATTTGTGTTTTTGGATATAAAGTAATATATCTTGAATATATAGTTTTTATCTGGAAATTATACTTTAATAAAGCTGAGGAGACAATAAAGTAAATCTCTTGTAGTCAACATATAGTTGAATTATGTATATTTTATACATTTCTTTAATACCTACCATTTAATTGGAGAGTTTAACCTATTCAGTTTTAAATTAATTATTGTTAAAGAAAAACTGAATGCTACCATATTGTTGTTTATTTTCTGTAGGTTTTGTATCTCTTATGTTCTTTCATTTGTTTATTACTGTCTTCTTTTGTGCTTAATTATTTTTATGTATACATTTTGATTCCCTTCTCATTTACGTTTTTGTGTGTTTATTTTATATTTACTTGCTTTTATTTGTATATACATATTCTTGTTTTTTTCTTAATGGTTACCTGAAGGATTACAATGAACATCTTAAATTTATAGAAATCTAATTTAAATTAATTCCAACTTAGGTTCAATATTACACAAAAATGGTGCTCCCACACAACTCTCTGTCCATCCTAATTTATGTTGCCATTTTGTTTATTTATGATGTACTAATTAATATAGATTTATTATTATTATCTTATTTGACTTTTATATCATATAGGAAGAAAGTGGAGTTGCCAACCAAAAATACAATAATAATGACCTTTATATTTTCCTGTGTAGTTATCATTTCTAGTATTCTTCATTTCTTCATAGGACTTGAATTTGTTCTCTACTGACCTTTCATTTCATCTTTTACCTGTTCTTATGAGTCATGTTTGCTAGTAACAGTCTTTCAGCTTTTGTTCATTTTGGAATGTCCTAATTTCTCCTACATTCTTGAAGGTGATTTTTGGTAGATATAGAATTTTTGCTTTACATGGCTTTTTTCTTTCAACATTTTAAATATTTCATTCTACTACCCCTTGGATCATGGTTTCTAATGAGAAATTAGTGATTAATCTTTTTTTATTTATTCAATATTTTAATTTTTAATCTTATGGGTACATAGTTGGTATATATTTATTGGATACATGAAATATTTTGGTAAAGGTATACAATGTGTAGCAATAACATGTGGGTAAATGGTGTATCCATCACCTCAAGCATTTATCATTATTTTGTGTTACAAACATGGCAATTTTACTGTTTTATTTAAAAATATACAATAAATTATTGTTGACTGTAGTAACCCTGTTGTGCTATCAAATACTAGATCTTATTCATTCTACCTAAACCGTATTGTTGTATCCATTAATCATTGCCTGATACCCTACCTCCCCACTACCCTTCTGAAACTCTGGTCACCATCCTTCTAATCTGTATCTTAATTAGTTTTTTTTTCTTTTCATTTTTAGCTCCCACAAATGACTGAGAACATGACAAATTTGTCATTCTGATACTCTGAACCAGACCTCCAGTTTCATTTATGTTGTTGTAAATGACAGGGTGTCTTTTGAAAAGTCTACACAAACTATTTAGTTTTTAACCTCAAGGAACTAAAAAACAAATGAACAAACAAACAAAAAAACTAAGCCAAAAGTTAACAAAAGGAACAATATAGTAGTACAGGTTACAGAAGAAATAATTGAAAGAGAGAATAGAATAACAATGGAAAAAGAAAATAATTCACAGATCCTTTGAAAGAAGCAGTGCACTGCTGCAAATTCTGTGAAACAGGTGAAAAACTTTGACTTCCCAAAGTGTGAGAGGGGGTAAACCTATCTCCAAAACACATCCCCACTGGGGAATTTAAAACTCTAGATCATGCAAGAAGGATTTACCCTTACCTAGAGCTGAAACAGACTTAGGGAGTTGTGTGAAATATGAAAGTAGAAGTAGCAGTGGGAAGTGCCTTGCAGATACTCACAGTCTCCAGCTGGAGCCCAGGGAAGCCATCCTTGACTATACCTCACAGAGCCCCTCAGGAAACAGTCAGCAGAATTGGGGAGGTGTTTCATGGCAAAGGAAGCATCCAACTAAAATTGGTAGTGGTTTTGACTGGGAACAATTTTTTTTCAGTGGAGTCTGGGGAACATTCAAGAGCCGCTGCAGATAAAAGTGCAGGAGTGCAGCAGCTGCCCAGACAAAGTGGGCAGATGAGGAGGAGCAAGGTTTGAAAAAGAAAGCTATGCTTGCGTTCTCAGCAGGGAAGCCCACAGCTTGGGGCAAGGTCTGAATGGGGCACTTGGGGACTCAGACTGGCTTTGTGAACTGCATGGAAGCTAGGTGAGGCCTCTCTCTATAGCCTATCCACCACTTCCCTGGTGAACTATATGACACAGCAGAGATGACCAAGATCCCCTCTGGAACATAACCCCACTGGACTGAAAACCACTGCTAAATCACCCAAGTGGCTGTGGCAAGCCCTGCCTAAAGAGAGTTTGAGCCCAGATCTGCCTAACCTTGCCCACCTGATGGTATTTCTCTACCTGCCCTCATAGCCAAACACAAGAGACAGAAACTCTTGGGAGCTTTATAGCCCTGCCCATCTCCTTAGAAATCAAAATAATCACCCTAGCCAACTTAGGGCAAGCTTAGAATCCCCACTACTGCTGCAGCTGGTGCTTTCCAAAAAGCACCACCTCTTTGCTGAAGGACAAAGAACACAGGCCACTACAGCAACTCATTACAGAATAACCCTGACCCAGGAAGGAAAATACAATACCTAATTTGACTTCCTGCAACATCCTGGTTAAAGAGTTCCTGAGTGTGCTCATGTGACAACTTCACTGCTGGCATAGCCAGCATTTGAGAAAGCCAGCACACTTAACATATCTACAACCAGACTCACGTAGTCTACTTCATTGCCCTGCCACCTCTACCAGAGGAGGTGCTGGTATCCATGGTTGGGAGACCTGAAGATGGATCCCATCACAGGACTCTTTGCCGACATTCTCCAGCACTAGCCTGGCGCCTTGTAGCCCTGCTGGGTAGCTAGACCCAGAAGAGAAATAACAATAACTGCAATCTAGTTCTCTAGAAGTCCCATTCCATATTAAAAAATGCTCAACATCACTAATTATCAGGGTGATGCAAATTAAAACCACTATGAGATACTACCTTACTCCTGCAAGAATGGCCATAATAAAAAAAATCAAAAAATAATATATGTTGGCATGGATGTGTTGAAAACGGTATACTGTTACAGTGATAGTGGGAATGTGAACTAGTACAACCACCATGGAACATAGTATGAAGATTCCTTAAAGAACTAAAAGTAGAACTATCGTTTGATCTGGCAATCCCACTGCTGTGTATCTACCCAGAGGAAAAGAAGTCATTATATGAAAAAGACACTTGCACATGCATATTTATTGTGGCACAACTTAAAATTCAATAATATGGAACCAGTCTGAATGCTTATCAACCAAAGAGTAGATAAAGAAAATGTGGTATATATACACCATGGAATACTACTCAGCCATCAAAGGGAAAAAAAATAATGGCATTCACAGCAACCTAAGTGGAGTTGGAGACCATTATTCTAAATGAAGTAATTCAGAAATGGAAAACCAAATATCGTATGTTCTCACTTATAACTGGAAGCTAAGGTATGAGGATACAAAGGCATAAGAATGATATAATGGACTTTGGGGACTCAAGGGGAAGGGTAGGAGGCAGGTGAGGGATAAAAGACTACCCATCGGTATGTGGTCAAGTGATCTTCAACAAGGGTGCCAAGAATACACAATGGGGGAAGGATAGACTCTTCAACAAATGTTGTAAAAGCTAGTTATCCACAAGCAAAAAAAATTAAAAGTAGAATCTTATCTCACAAACAAAAATCAACTCAAAATGTATTAGTGATTTATACATAAGACCTGTAACTGTAAAACTCCTAGAAGTCAACCTATGAGGGAATCTTCATGACATTGGGCTTGGGAATGATTTCTTGAATATGACACCAAAAGCACAGGCAATAAAAACAAAGAAAAAAGTGGTACTAAATGGAACTAAAGCTTCTGCACATCCAAGAAAATAACAGAATGCAAAGGCAACCTATGGAATGGGAGAAAATATCTTTAAACCATGTATCTGATAAGGGATTAATATTAATCCAAAATGTATGAGGAACTTCTATATCTGAACAGAAAAAACCCAAATAACCAGATTTTTAAAAAATGATCCAAGTCTTGAATAGGTATTTCTATAAAGAAGATACACAAATTGTCAACAGGTACATAAAAAGATGCTCAACAATACTAATCATCAAGGAAATGCAAATCAGATATTACCTCACATTTGTTAGAATGGCTATTATCAAAAACAAAACTAATGTTAAAGTGTTTGTGAAAATGTGAAAACATTGGAAACGCATACATTGTGGGTAAAAATCCAAAATGCTGGAGCCACTGTGGAAAACAGTATGGAGGTCTCTGAAAAAGTTCTGAATAGAATTACCATACAATCCAGCAATTCCACTATTGGGCATATATTCAGAATAATTGATATCAGCATCTTGAAGAGATACCTATACTCCCATGTTTATTGCAGCATGGATTTAATAGGTGGGTCTTAGCCTATTTTGTGGGCTACTGTTCAAAGCACAGTTTAAGAGCCCTTGTGGTGGTGCCACTGGAATTCTCAATGGCTCCCTCTGGTGCTGCCTAATGGCGTTAAGGGAGCTTCTCCAAGCTACGCTTCTGAATGTCTCTTGGTGGGGGATGGTTTTGATATGGGATTTCCCCAATGCTTTCTCCAACTATCTCTGCGTATGGGAGGAGGGTCTCAGCATGCAGGGACAAAGAGGCTTTCTGCCTTGGGCCAGTTGCTGTACCTGTGTCACTAGCCCATCAACTATGATGTCTCTATGCCGGAGATGATAATCTTGAGCCTGTGGGTAAACATGCTTGCTGTGACTGTATCCCATTTTCTAGTTCTTCTCACCCTCGTTTCTATGTAGGATGGAAATATAGCCTTGGGTTTTTGGGGAAGAAGAGGTTTCTCATTTTTCAGCGCTGTCTCTTTTTCTATCTAGTAACTCTAGATAGAAATCACTGCTTTAGTGATTCTGGGCATGTGGATTGGGAAAGTCTCAGGCCTGGAAGAGACAGGATGCTTTCCTGCCAAGAGTCTCAATCAAATTGTCTGGCCCAAGATGCCAGGATCCCTTTATGTCATAGGGTCTTCTATTCATTCCCGAGGATGAAAAAAATGACCAGGGTGCCTTTTGCTGTTAGATTTGGAGTCAGGAAATCCTGGGCCTGGAAGGCCTTCCATTGTTTGGTGGGATGACCAAGACATCCTGCTTCTTTGTTGTTCCTCCATTTCTGGAGTCCCTTACCAGTTTTCCTTCTTCTTACCACCTTTCAGAATTTTTTTTTTTTTTTGGTTGCATCTTGGATTATTTCCAGGGTATAAAGTTGTGTTTAGTAAATAAGAGAAGGGAGAAATAACTCTATGCCATCTTGTAAGATCTATGATTAGTTAGCTTTTTTAAAAAAAATGTTATAATGATGACTTTGTAAATATTTTTCTGCACCTCTAGCAAGTTTTGTTTTGTGTATTTAAAGATGGTTTCATTATGTGCATACAAGTTCAGAATTATGAAATTTTCTTGATGAATTGGTCATTTCGTTATTCTAAATTTATTAGGTTTTTTTTATTGCTGACATAAAACAACTCACCATAAACAACAACCATTCATTATTTCACATTTCTCTAAGTCAGAAGTTCAGGAGGCTCAGCTGAGATCAAGATGATGTAGGACTGTGTTCCTTAATGGTGATTCTCAGGAAAAGTCTACTTTCAAGCTTATTAAGGTTGTGGACTAAATTCTGTTTCTTATAGGTATATGACTGAGATCCCTTATTCCTTGCTGTCAGCCAGGGAGGTTTTCTCAGCATCTAGAGGCCACCTATATTCTCTAAACCATGACCCTCTTCATCTTCAAATTAGTGACAGCAGTTTGAGTCCTTCTCATGCTTCAAATTTTTTTGAACTCTCTTTATGCATCCTCTTTTGACACATCTCTATTTTGCTTACAACCTAAGAAGATGCTCCACTTTTAAAGACTAATGTGATTAGATTAAGAGGAACTAAATAATCCAGGATAACATTACTACATTAAACATATTTTTAATGTAATTTTGACCTTATAATTTAAAAAGTTCTTAGGTTCCAGTAATTTGGATGTGGAGATCTTTGGGGTCCATTATTCTGTATACTATATGAGATGACACTCTCTCTTATTAATAATGATTTTTCTTAGTAATTTTATTTTATATGATATCAATGTAGTCACCTTCACTTTCTTTTCATACTTTATATTGCATCAATAATTTTGCACATCTGCATTTTTGTATATAGCATATAGGTATATTTTTAAATTTGATTATTTCTGTCTTATAGGTGAAATATTTAGCTCATTCACTTTTATCAGAAATATGGCATTTTTAGATATTCGCACATATTAATTTTTGCTTTCTATTTTAAAATTTTCTATATCTCTTTCTTTATTCTTCTTTTACTCAAGTTATTTTGGGTTTTATTTATTTTTTTTTGGCTCTGTTGCCTTGGGAGCTATATACCTTACTTCTATTTTTTTAGTAGTTACCCCCTTCCAGGACCTTTCACCTCACAGATATAACAAGGTCTGAAGATAATGCCTTAATATCTTTTCTATACAATAGAAAGACTTTTAACTCACTTAACCTAAATTTAGCCTCTCATCACTTACATTCTATTTTGTCTAATGTCTAAGATTTGTGCTTTATTAAAACCTTCCTTAGAAACTTCTTTTTCATTGATTCATGTTAAACCATATTTTTATTATTTTACACTGATAATTTATTTGTTAAGATTCCCCTGTTAAGTCTATAAATTTCTTTGCTTAATATTTTTTCCTTTGTCACAAATATTCATTTTGGGTTAATTTTTCCTCTTCTTGCAATATTGAAAGAATTTTAGAGCATGTCAGTTGGTAATAAAATTGGCTGTTGTTTGAAAATTTATTTAGTTCTCATTATTGAGTAATAATTTTTGAGAACACAATTTTGTTTTTACATTTATTTTCTCTTACACTTTTTATATACTGTCTTCTGGTTGTCCTTATTATTATTGAGATGTTTGTTTTAAGTATAATTATAATTTTTAAGCCCATATTAATTTTTAACTACTTAAAAAAAACCTTTGCCTTAATGTTTTGCAATTATATTACAATGTCTCTAGATATATCATAATTTCCTTTACCATTTTAGTATTCATTGTATTTCCTGGTTCTTTATATTTAATTAGAGTTACAGAAGTCTTAGGAAATTTCTTGACAAATATTATAATTCATTAACTCTGTTTATTGCTTTCTTCTGTGACTTCAATTATACCAACAGTACTCCTTTTCATTTGTTCACATTTATTAAACCTTTATATTTTCCATCTACTTGCCTCTCAATATTCCATTCTGGGCAATTTCTTCAGGTCTATCGTTTAGTTCTAAATTTTCTTTTCAACTATGACTAAACTGTAGCTTAATCCATCCTGTGAGTTGTTTTCGTTTTTTTTTTTTTTAATTTTTTTGACTTTTTATATCATCTATTTTTTGCCCTAATGCTTAATTCAGAGCATAGCACATAGCTATTCCCAATATGTTCTCATTAAAGGTATTTATATTTGATTTTTAAAAGTAAGTAACAATAAAACTATGACAGAGGAGCAGCTTTTTCCTTTGAAAATTGTGGTTTAAATGCAGTAAGGGTTATTAACAATTCTACATGAATGACTTCTTATTTCACTGAAGTGTTTTATAAGGTTTTTAAAACAGTACTTCATAGCATCCTGCTCTTCAAAACATCTGTGGCTCTTTTTGGTTCCTATTAAGTGATAAATAACAACAGAATTTTGGTTCACATAAGGACCTGAAACAAGAAAGTTGGTTAAGCTATTCATACTTGTTGCTTTGAAATTGGGCTCATAGAATTTAATTTTATTATGTCTATAATTTGCACTGGTATTTTGTCAATTACCTTTTTTCTTAACTTACAAGTTACTTTTTTTAAAAAAAGAAAACCATATACAAAGCTTAGATTATATAATATAATGAACTGGTCATTTTTCTTCTCATCTCTCTATTCAAATCATAGATTTCAAAGAGTTTAAATTATTAATTAATTTGTGTGTGTGTGTGTGTTATGTAGTGGAGAGGCAAACTTGATACATTTAATGCTTTAACATTATATACTGATGCATTCCTAATTCAAAGTTATATCATGATATGAAGAAATATACACGTGAAGCTATTAAGAAAACATTTTTGTTTGTAAGGATTTTGAAAGTTGGAGGATCAAATAATAAAACTCAGAATTTTTCCTGTCCACAAAAAAAATGTGGAACATGAAACTCACCAAACGAGAGATATCTGAGAAATTGTAGTCAGTCCATGATTTTTCTCCCCTCTCTGAGAACTATCACCCTCTATTCAAACAAATCTATAAGCAGAGTCCTTGGTATCATGTTTGTACTGTGTGACATTTGCCTCTAGGCCAAGGCTGATTGTCCCATGTATTTTTTTTAATTTTGAGAATTTAATTTTACATTTTTACACGTTCAAACTCAGTTACTTTTTAAATATTCCTTTTCATTGTGTCTTTTTGTTCATTCATTTTTTCTTAATTGATGTATTTCATGAAGGTTTATTAATTTTTTAATTTGAATTATCCCTATTTCTATAATCTTTGGTGTCTATAAATCTCTTGCTTGTTGTTTCTCTTAACTCTAATTGATGGTGATTTGTTTTCTGGTTTTGTGTGTGTGTGTGTGTAATGTTTGATTAATATTACTTAATCATTGGGAAAGTCAGTGCTTTTCTCCAGAGAACTGGGGTTTAGTTTTTCTGGTCCAGAGCCTGGACTATTCTGGCAACCTTCCAAGTTGCCATTGTTAAATTGCAAATCTCAGAGAAGGAGAGAAAGAGGAAAAGTACTATTTCACAAAAGACTCTTATTAAATGTTTTTATCATGATTTTTTTCTCCTTTTAGGATTTTGCTTTTTGAGGTTTACCTATTATGATGATCTGTTCAATAGTAAATATTCATTCAGTTGGTGTAGATAGCTTACATAAAATTCACCAAAGAGTATTCAGGGATTATGTGAAATTCTCAGCATAACTGGTTTATTGTTTCAGCTTATTCATGCTACTCTTGCACTTTCACAATACACATTAGAATATCAAATAACTTAATAGATATTCCATTAAAGAAACATATTTGTGTCTATATAACTGAGCATTTCCAAAATATATGTGAGTATGAAACAAACCTATTTCTAAGATAATATTTATTAATATTTCAAGTTTAATGGAATTTGCTTTAGGAAATGCCAGCTAAATATTATATTAGCTCTGATGGGTTATTACCCATAGTTGTACCATAACTATTAAGTGATATTTTAAAATTGAGGCAAATGTCTTTTTCTCACTCAAAATCTTATATATTATACAAAAACAAAACGTGGTTTTGTCAATACCTATTTATTCCAGGTATGAAGAATATCACACATTCTCTTCACCTAAACACACAGACAGACACACACACACACACACACAAACTTATCTAAAGAATCTTCCTATTGCTTACATAGTAGACATAATTAAGTAAATTTGAATGGGAGAACCAACTAATTGTGAGAATACCAATAGATATTCAGGCACTGTCTTGAGTGTCTCTGATGGATTGAGTTTCTCCAAACCTAGATTTGCTGACAGAAAAAATGTTAAAGATCCTAAATGTAAGCTAATCCTGAAAAGGAAAATCTGGCCTGATTACCCAGGCCTATTGGCAGGATCTTTCTGTTTGTAGGGGAAACTGGTTCCTGCACAGTGTGCGTTTGAGGCCACAAACTTCATGACAGCCAACCAACCTGTCCTGTGATCATAATTTGGGAAGCTTTGCAGATCGTGGTAGTATAAGTTATAAAGTCTGATAATGTTAACAATCAACTCCTTGACCCATTTTTACATCTTGGCTAGTGACTATTTTTCCTTATCAATGTATAAGGCACATTAGACTATAAGTAACATACTTTTCAAAACGACACCATTTTTTCAGTTACAGAAACAATGACAACTGGTCTTAAAATACTTAGACTCTCTTAATTTATTTCTTATGATTTGGGGAGGCAGGACTTGACAAAATTGAAATCTGTATGTGTTAGATAATTTGGGCAATTTTGAAGTAATAAAGTTTCAAAAACAAGTTATTTGACTCTCTACTATTATGTGTGAATAGTGATTAATTAGAGGAAAAAAATTTAAAATTACTTCAAAAAGAAGAGTTTCTGAATATCCATTGATTTTCTCCCAGTTGGTCGATTCCCCCATGCAAATGGGGGAAGATGGCAGCATTTACACTCTATGCTAATGAAGTAAGTCACTTTTATTACAAAAGTGCTAAAAAGTTAATGTGATCTATACTTTGCAGGACTTTTATTTGGGCTTTAGAACTAAAAGTTTACTGCTACTACATAGTTCTTACTGTATGTTTTTCTTACTTTTTTTTAATTATACTAACTGTAATAGACAGTGAATGGAAAACTTAATTTTGGGACTCTGTCATCTGCACACCTATGTTCCCAGAGTTTGAGGAATCAATGCAAGTGGTTTAGATGTGACAGTTTGGAAAAATATACTTCCCCAGTGCCTATAAAAGTAAGTACCTCCGAGTGAAGCGTTAGTATTAGGAGAGATCAGAGCCATATATGTTAATTAGCTTGTTAATTATTCTCTACTGTCACGTAAGATGAAAATTTCTATGTGTTTTCCATATATCACTTTATTAGCTTTTGAAATTTATTTTATCTCAATTTTGCCTGTATAAAATGTGGTGTATGATGTTCTGGGATACATGGGAATGGTGTGGAAATCAGAACAGGATGTGTTCCAGTCCAAACATATCTTTAGAGTTGACTGTGCCCACAAATGTGTTTCTGTGAGTGATGGTCTGACAAGTGATAGTCTGACAAGACATGACCGTTTTCCAAATTTTTACTTACAAATTAAAACACGAAAGTAAATCTATAATGTATGTTTATGAAAAATATTTTGATATCATCTCAGCCATTTAATAAGTCCCTAAAGAGGCTCTCATTTATTCCTGAAGAAGAGTCCTTAATATATTGTGAATGCTCGTTGATTCTGATAGCAAGTTGACTCCCCATTACTGCAACTGTTTTTATAATGTAGAAAGAGCGCTAAGTGTCAAGCACTTTACCTTTCCATAGCTAAGGAAATCCTTAAAAATATAATGGGGTTCCAAATCATAGAGTCATTTTAGTACTTTAATAAGACCACGATTTGTTTAATGTGAGCAGAGAAACATTGTAATCAGAATTATCCTTACCTGTAGGAGGTACAGACTCTAGTGAATTATGAGGGATGCTGGAATGCGTTTCTGACCCAATTGATCTTGCAATTAGTACTGACCATGAAGTTTATTTGGTGATTACTTCATTTACTTAAGGCAGTAATTATGGGAAGAAAGGATTGGGTAAATGTTGGTCAAAATATACAAAATTTCAGTTGGGGGAAGAAGTTCTAGAGATCTACTGTACAGTATGATGACTATAGTTAATAACAGTGTATTAACTAGTTAATGTATAATTAATATATAATATATTTTAGGTATTCTCACCACAAAAACTGATAAGTATGTGTGGTAATGCATATGTTAATTATATTTACCTAAACCAACAATATATACATATTTTAAAGCATCGTGTCATATACCATAAATATATACAATTCTTTTTTGTCAATTAAAAATAATAATAAAAAACAAATGTTATCCAGAAGAGTTTTAATACTCAGAACTGTTTGATAATAACTTATTGTGTGTTAATTTATACATTGCCTTTATTTATCCCCATTCAGTTAGAGTCTGAGTTGTTACAGAGATAATGAGTCAAATATCTGGTGCATGGAGCTGTAACAGTGTGGAGGAGCATAGGATGAAACTTTGCCACAGGTGGGAAATACTAACATGCAGAAAAGGAGTCCTAAAAATGACTCAATATGTGCTAAGTAAATGACTTTTAAATGTAGTAAGTGACAATTCTGTACACAATTATTGGTAAAGAATAATTTTGGAGTCCATTTTTAGATACCTTGTCAGCTTTCAAAAATATCACCATTTGAACACAGCAAGTGGTTTCTGATTTTTATTTCTTTAATTTGCCAGATTGTTTGTATTCTTGTAATTATAACTAGCCTAAATGGATAGCTATTGAGAGTGTAGTGTCTGTGCTGAAGATGTTAATGCATTTATGTTTTCTTTATTGCTCTGGGAAATAGTGGTATTTCATGTTAACATTGTGAGTTCCTCTGTACCTCTTTAGCACACTATTTATTCCATAAATAACAGGACAATAAAAATAAAGTCGAGTGACCACCCGCTTTAAATCTACATTCAAATCAAATTTCATCACTAAATTATTGACATAAATAAATACACATAATTGGTTTTCAAAATGTGGCTACCTCCCCATTATTCAGGACTTGATTATACAGGTCATAAGTTACTGATATGGTTTGACTCTATGTCCCCACCCAAATCTCATCTTGTAGTTCCCATAATTCCCACATGTTGTTGGAGGAACCCGGTGGAAGGTGACTGAATTATGGGGGTGGGTCTTTCCTGCACTGTTCTCGTGATAGTGAATGGGTCTCACGAGATTTGGTGGTGTTAAAAACGGGAGTTTCTCTGCACAAGCTCTCTCTTTGCCTGCCACCAACCACATAAGATATCACTTGCCTCCCCAGCCACGTGGAACTGTGAGTACAATTAAACCTCTTTCTTTTGTAAGTTGCCCAATCTCGGTTATGTCTTTGTCAGCAGTGTGAAAACAGACTAACACAGTTACTTAAGCTTGTTTCCTGCTTGTCAGCATCACCACTAGAGTCAGGATTCAGGAAGACGGAAGAGGAAAAAAGCATGACAACCATGTTTGCATCCAATAATCAGTTATTCTACTGATGTTATGGGGAGGAAATTGTAGTATCTTGCTAAGATAAAGATTGTGGGTTATTAGTAGATTTAATTAGTCCATACTAAAGACTGTTATAATTAGAACTGAGAACACAAAGTTGAAATCATGTACATTTATAAACATGTATTATATCTGTATATTAGTCTATGCTATATATAAATACGAAGAAATAACTCTTCACAATGGCTATAATAAAAAGTGTAGTTACTTCCTCTTCGTGATTTTTCTTTTTACACTTAAGTTACAAGGTCCTTTTATTAAAAATCCAAATGTGAAACTCCTGTCCATCTATGGGTAATGAAAATAAAAGTTTCATGAAATAATATTTACCCTTAATATATGTGATATACTTTTATATTGCTATCCTAGTCTATGCATATTTGATGTTTTTTAATAGTGGTCGAGCCCTACTAAATTGATAAAATGACTTGTTCATAGATTTTTAAATCACAAGTTGAAAGAAACTGTTTAGTTAACTTGACAAGCTATCTTGATGTTGTGTATCACTAGGTAACTGTAAACAGTGTAGATTGTATTTACTGCCCCTGGAAAAAAATGCCTGGATTTTATCATTACTTCCTAAAACCAGATTAACTAATTTTTATTTTAATCGTATGTTATTATTTAATAATTAAATACATTAGGTATCACATTATGTTATTACCCAAGCCACCAATTTGTAGAAAGGAATATTAAATTTGTTTTTTAAATTCAAAATCTCTTTTGTTAATTTTTTGCCATTTAAATCTTTCTATGAAGCTGAACTCTGGTGATATAATTTAAATTAAAGATAATATTAAGGCCTTTCTCAGGTTTTATAGAGCAGTTGAAGTTAGTTTCCAGGTATTTATGGAAAATGCTACTAATGAGGGAATTAAAAAACATCAAGGGTGGAGGGAGGGGCAGAAAGCAATCTAATCAAACTATTTTTATTCAAATTTTTTGCCTTATTCATTTTATTTATTTAGTTTTAATAGATGCTATATTGACTAGTTGGAGAGCGAAAAAAGGAGTAGAGTTTGAATGGAATTACAGTACACACAAACACAAGAGACTGAAAAGAGCCTTATTCATTTATCATTAAAATGGCTTTGACTTTAAGGTAAATCATGACTGTAAAGCTCATAAGTTCAGAGATTGTGCCTGTTTAATTAACTTTGATAATTCTAATATAGCCTGGTACCATAGAAGTCCTCTATAAATGTGCATTGCATGGATACCTGAATTGATGTATAATTTTTGTACTTTTGTGAGTATTGAATATTTTGAAGTGCTGTTTTCTGCACATACCATGCACCTAATAAATATTTTTGAATGATGAACTTTTGCCTGCTTTGCTAAACTTTCACAGTTTGATAAATTTCACTAGACCAAAAATACATTAGAAAACATAGAAATTCATTTCTGTGATGACAGTGCATACAAGAAATTCCAGGTTAGTCTGATTTAATGTATTTTTTCTCAGTTGTCAAATGTGGTGCATGAAATTTTATTTCTGTACACATATAATAAATTGTGGTTGAGATTTTGGTCTCTCTCACATTTGTTTAAATAGAAAAAGAAAATATGCTCCTAATACAGTCATCATATGAATCCTAGGATGAATCCCCATTTTTTGGAGGCTTTTAAAGCTCTAAATCTACTTCTAAAAATTATGCTGTTATCCTCTATAAAAGAGACTATTGAGAAAATTATTCAAAAGCTGTTCTTAAAATTTAACATATTTCACCCTCACATCATATTTTATAGTTTTATTTTGTACCTCAGGCCCAGATTGTTGAAAACTGAATGAATTCAACCATTTCTTTATGTGTATAAAGCAGAAAGTAACCAACATAAAAAGATTACAATTGATCCTGAATATAAGTCAACCAAAAAAATTATCTTTCTTTTTGAACTGTATATATTGCATACATTCAAAACAATAAAGCTATTATTTGGTTAGTGTCAGAAATTTTCAAGAACTTCCAGATATTTTTAAAATTAACTTTAGTGAGATATAATTGCATACAATAAAAGGTATATACTTTAAGCATAGAGTTGCATGAGTTTTGACAAATGTGTGCACCTATGTAATAATTACACTAATCAAGGTTAAGAACATTTTTATCACCCCAAAACATATTTCTTCTCTTGGAGTAAGTTCCTATACCTCCACTGCAAACAAGCACTGATGTGATTTCTAACTCTATGTATCAGTTTTTCTTTTTCTAAAACTTGATTTAAGTTGAATATCTATCAGTATTTTTTATTTACTTTTGTATTACTCTATTGCTTGAATATATTGTATATTTTCCATCTAATTCTCTTGTTGATGGATGTGTTGATTGTTAAAGTTATAGCCATTATTTTTTATAGCTATTATAATTTTTGCTCAAGTGACAAGTGGTTTTGTGGACACATTTTTGTTTCTCTTGATTTAAATCCCTAAAAGTTAAAGTCTAACAGTATAGGCTAGGTTAATATTAAGTTTATAAGAAAATGACAAATCTCTTTTTCAAATTCATTACGCCGTTACCACCCATCCCCAGCTTTGTGGTATATATGTATTTCATTTGAATTTACCTTTATGAGACAATTGTAACTATGAAAAACATTGGCAAACTGATCGTGTAAAGTATGACAGCTAGTATAGAATGCATTTATGGCCAAAAAAACCCCAGGGCAATATGAAATTTCCTAGTTAGTGAAAGTGGAACCTGAAGGGTGGGTGCTTAGGTTGACAGGAAAAGGGAAGTAGAGAGGAATAAAGAGGTCAGAGTGAGATAGAGAATGAATTAGGAAACACGCACTACTTCACCACTGTCCCTGTGTTTTCTATTCCATAGAAATAAATCTATACTTATTTTTCTGAATAAAAATTCTATTGACCTCATTTAGATTATTTTACAACCAAGAGAAAATGAGAAACACAAGGCAGCAAAATGGTAGGGCTCCTCTCACTACTAAGAAATAACAAATTTATGGCATAACTCTTGACACTGGGAGAAGATAGCAGCTTCTTGTAGAATTAAAGGAACAGACGTTGAATGAAGAGATATTGCAATTTTAGTCCTACTTCTGCTGTTTATTAGAGTGTGACTTTGTACATGATGCTCAATATTTCTGAGCATCTATGATTTCATAAGTTGTATGAGAAAATTATAATGATAACCTCTCTAGCAGATTAGTTTAGGAATTCAAAGAATATTTTTCTCATTTGCCTAGCTATTTTGATACATTATGAATATTAATCCTTCTTTCCATGTTTATGGGGGTTATTGCATAATAAGAAATACAACTTCATACATGTATAATCAAACCACAAGTCAAAAGGGTTGAGGATAGCCTAGATATTGCCTATGACATTTATACTCCTTACAAGACCTCTAGTATATCTTCAATTTTGAACATTGAAAGAACTAGAAGATATATTGAATTTGTTCATTTTGGCTACTACTTTCTTATTAAGAATTGCCTATTTTCTCACACTTTGAAGATCCTTGAAAAATATGACTTTTATCACAGTAATTGCACTGAGTTAACCAAAAGTGGTAGTAAGCAATGAAGCCAGCTACTTCACTCATGAGTTGTTCTTTTAGAATATGAGGCTCGTCAATCATTTTACCCTGTTTTTATTTATTTCACATCACTTTGAAATTACTCACCTTTACATATTTGTTTATGTTCCATCTTTCCACTCAAATATAAACTCCATAATCAGTATCAGATCAGTGTCATATCTATTGTGTTCTCCTTTTCTACCCAGCATTAACATAATGTCTGATGCATATTCTCTGTTTAATATATCTTTCTAATAAGCAGTCTCTTACTTCTTTAAAGCTTTCTTTTTGCAAACTTTCTCCTCAAGGTACTCTGAAAAGGAAAACCAAGAAGGGCCACTTTAAAATACTTCAAATACTTAATAAACAAGTAAACATTTGTATGATTTCTCAATAAATGTTTTACAGTTAATACTGGATATTTCCTTTCCTTAGGGAGAAAAAATAACAACAAAGTTATAGACTAATATCCATTTTTCAGTGAGCCTTTGACAGAAAAAAAATGGTCTAAATTTTCAAACTGTTGGGAGAGAGTCAGGGAGTGGCAGTGTTGACAAAAATGTTAGGTAGGTACAAGAACTGTGAAACAATGCTCTTCTCCAGCTAATGAGTGTTTTATGGCAAAGCCTTCTGGACATAGAGTTTGAAAATCAGCTGTTATTCTATCAGTGGAGGTAAAGCTTCTATTTTCTGTGACCTTTGATCACTTACTTAATTTTCTCTAAGCTAAAATTATTTTTTTACAGACTCTCAAAAAGAATGAGAAAACAAAGGGCTTATTTTAGAAAACAATCCTGAGAATAAATCCAAAGTGTTGCCAGTCATTTCGCACATTGATTTTTCTTATGGCAAACACTTCTTTTTTAGTATAGATTGTTATTTATTCTTTGAGATGTAAAATTCTATGGATCTTATCAAATGCATAATGTCAGATGTCAATCATTTAGGTATCACAAAGAATACTTCAGATCCCCAACCCAGGCAATCACTGATCAGTTTACCATCTCTGTAGTTTCACCAGTTCCAGAATGTCATATAAATAGGGACATAAAGTGTGTAGCTTCTTCATACTGCCTTCCTTCACATAGCAATAGTTATGAAAGATCAATCCATGTGTTTGCATGTGTGGATACTTCAATACTTTCTTTATGAATGGTATTCCATTGAATGGATGCACCCTAATTTGATTATGGATGCAGCAATGGAAGGACATTTTAACTTTAAGGTTTTTTTTTAAACTTTTATTTTAGGCTCAGAGGTACATATGCAGGTTTATTATATAGGTAAACTGTGAGTCACAGGAGTTTGGTGTACAGATAATTTTATCACTAGGAAAATAAGCATGGTACCACCATCTTTGGGATTATGGCTGAACACCTTTAAGTAAGAATCCCACCCAGGTGGAACAATAGTTGTTGCCTTGGTAATCCTGCTCAGTATGAGAGGAACCACAGATTCAGACATTTGGTGTATGTGCTTGGCTGAGGAACCAATGGGGCCAAAATGATCTCAGCCTATTCTGGAACTTTAATTGGGGTGATTGACCCAGACTATCAAGATTAAATCAGTCTACTACTCCACAATAAAGGTAAGGAAGAGTATGCGTGGAATACAGGAGATCTCGTAGGCTGTCTCTTAGTATTACCATGCCTCCTGATTAAGTTCAATGGGAAACTACAACAGCCCAATCCAGGCAGGACTACAAATGGCCCAGACCCTTCAGGAATGAAGGTTTGGGTCACTGCAGCAGGTAAAACTCCATGACCTGCTGAGGTGCCTGCTAAAGGCAAAGGGAATACAGAATGGATAGTAGAAGGTAGTCATCAATACCTGCTACAACTACATGACCAGCTGCAGAAATGAGCACTGTAATTGTCATGAGTATTTCCTCCTTATGTTGTTAAGAACATGTTTGTGTTGTATTAAGAAAATATGTTCATTTTATTTCCTTTTATATCATGTGACATAAGATTTATTGACTTCATATCAGCATTTAAGTTTTGTTAATGTAATAGCATTTGTGTTGGGGATTGGTTCATTTCTGGTTATACAAAGGAAAGCTGTATTGTGCTAGGTGTAATTATGACCTTATTATTGTCTTTATTTGGAGATTATATACTATTTCAATAATGTGTATGGTTTTAAGTTGACATGGGGCAGATTTGTGATGGTTAATATTGAGTGTCAACTTGACTGGATTGAAGAATGCAAAGTATCGTACCACATTTTCTTTTCCAACATACCATTGATTGGCATGTATGTTGATTCTATGTCTTTACTACTGAGAATAGTGCTACAATGAACATATGTGTGTGTGTGTGTATTTGTGGTAGAATGATTTATACTCCTTTAGGTATACAGCCAATAATGGAATTTCTGGGTCAAATGGTAATTTTGTTTTAAGTTCTTTGAGGAATTTCCACACTGCTTTTCACAATAGCTGAAATAATTTACTGTCCCACCAGCAGTATATAAGTGTTCCCTTTTCTCCACAACCTCACTGGCAACTGTTATTTTTTGACTTTTCTATAATAGCCATTCTGACTGTTGGGAAATGGTATCTCATTGTGGTTTTGATTTGTATTACTCTAATGGATAGTGATGTTGAGGATTGTTTCATATGCTGTTGGCTGCATGCATGTCTTCTTTAGAACAGTGTCTGTTCATGTCTCTTGTTCACTTTTTAATGAGGTTTTTTTTTTGTTTTTGCTTGTAAATTTGTTTAAGTTTCTTATAGATTCTGTATATTAGACTTTTGTCAGAGGCATAGTTTGCAGATTTTCAGCATTCTTAAAAAATTCAACCAAAAATTTTATATTCAGCCAATATGTTTCATAAGTGAAGGAGAAATAGAGTCCTTTTCAGACAAGTAAATGCTCAGGAAATTTATTACCTCCAGACCTGTCTTACAAGAGTTCCTGAAAAGAGTGCTAAACATGGAAAGGAAAGACCATTACTAGCCAAAAACACACTTAACTATACAGACCAGTAACACTATAAAGCAACCAAACAAGTCTGCCCAATAACCAGTTAACAACACAATGACAGAATCAAACTTGCATATATTAATACTAACCTTGAATGTAAATTGGCTAAATGTTCTGATTAAAAGGTGCAGAATGGTAAGTTTAATAAAGAAGCAAGATCCAATGGTATGCTGTCTTCAAGAGATCCATTTCACATGCAGTGACATTTATAGGATCAAAATAAAGAGATGAAGAAAAATCTACCAAGTTAATGGAAAACAGCAAAAAAGAAGGAGTTGAAATCCTTATCAGTCAACACAGACTTTAAACCAACAATGATCAAAAAAGATAAAGAAGGGCATTACATAATGGTAAAGGGTTCAATTCAACAAAAAGATCTAACTATCCTAAATATGTATGCACCTAACACAGGAGCACATGGATTCATAAAGCAAGTTCTTTTAGACCTTTAAAGAGACTTAGATTCCAATGCAATAATATTGGGAAATGTCAACAACCCACTGACAGTATTAGACAGATCATGGAGGCAGAAAATCAAGAATATTCAGAACCTAAATTCAACCCTTGATCAAATGGACCTAATATACATCTGCAGAACATTCTGTTGTGGCTTTTTTACTCCCATAATTCAGAAGGCAGGAGTGTTACAGCTCTTTTACTCCCACCATCCATAGCTCAGTGAGCAGGAATGTTACAGCTATTTCACTGCCACAATTTGGCAAGTTGCGGATTCTTGTCCCTCAACCAAGAGGAATAAAGTACACAGACACTGGAGAGGGGGTAAGGCAGAGTAGAATTTATTAAGTGAAAGAAAAGCTCTTGACAGTGAGAGGGGACCTAAAAGTGGGTAGCCATCTGTGAGGCTGAGTCCAGGGTTTTTATGGGCTTTCAATGGGAGAATGCATGCTGACTGGTTTAGGGGTGGACTTGGAAAAGGCACTGTTTGATTAGTTAAAATGCATCATTCGGAAAGAACCAATTGAGGAAGAGTTGATAAGACAGAGATGGAAGTTCTCCCTCTGGAGTGTGGATTCTATCTGGAGCTGGTAGCTTGGTTTTCAGGCTTTAGTCTGTCCTTGGCTTGAAGGTCAAGTTTCACCAAGGACCCCTCCCTGTCTGCCCAGAAATTTGTCTCTTGCCACTGTCAATTCCACCCCAAAACAACAAAATATACATACTTCTCATCAACACCTGGCACATACTCCAAAACTGACTACAAAAGTGGACGTAAAATAACGCTCAGCAAATTCAAAAAGAATCATACCAACCACATTCTTGGACCACAGCACAATAAAAATAGAAATCAATACTAAGAACATCACTCAAAACCATACAATTACATGGAAATTAAACAATCTGCTCTTGAATTGCTTTTGAGTAAATACTGAAATTAGGCAGTAATCAAGAAATGCTTTCAAATTAATAAGAACAATGATACAATATGCCAGAATCTCTGGGACACAACTAAGGCAGTGTTAAGAGGGAAGTTCATTGCAAACTTTTACCAAACCTTCTTTGCCAAAATTGAGCTTCCTGTTTTGATTCTTCATCTATGTCAGAACTTACTAATTGTTAGCAGCTGGTTTATTCTTCTCTCAAATTATGTCTCATAATTGCTCTATGAGTCAATAAGTGATGCCAATGAGGATGTCAGTTATTTCAATAGATCCTTATACTCTTCAGATGGTATTTACATAGATGAAGCCAACTAATGGGGGCTATGTTAAGAAGGTGGTGAGAAATCAATGGTGGCATAAATTAATAAAACTTCTTTGGTTTCAAGAGTAAGTAAGCTTCATTTGCCACAAAATTGACCATTTGCATAATTACATATGCTAGAATAATACTTTAATGATTTTTCACGTGAAGGAGTTTTTAGCTTTTCATCTGTTTTAACCAAGAGGATACTTTAATGATTTTTCCCATGAAGGAGTTTTTAGCTTTTCATCTGTTTTAACCATCAGGATAAAAGTACCAAATACTTTTTCAAAAACTCCCTCAATTTTCTGCAGTCTCTTAGAATGTTTCAGCCATTTTTATCTATCTTTTATTTTGATGAAAAGGGTTCTACTGTTACAAAAATAACCTTGCATTTATGCTTAATTTTGTATTTTCTGAGACTTTGAATATTTACTTATCCTTGCTTCTTTTTTCTTCTCCAAACTCTCTTCATTCCTTCCTCCTCTGTATCTGCTAATTAAATACATCACTGCATCACCTCCAAAAACAAACAAATGCCCCTCTCATTATGTTTTTTAATCCTGAAATGTAGTTTCTATATCTTCTTTCTTCTATCAACAGATATATCAAAAACCTAAGTTATACATGTTTATTTCAATATTAGAAGTAATATTCATCCATGGGATTCTGAATTCTTCTTTTATCACAGTTATTCAAATTGCTGCCTCAGAAGTAATGGAGAATATCCTAAATACAAATTCAAAAGCCTATTCTCAGTACTCAACAAAATTTAAAACTGGAACATCTTATCCTGATGATCCGCCACTTTTTGAAAATTTTTTCCTCCTTTTCTTTAGTGTCAGTGCACTGTTCTGCTTTTTGTTCTACCTCAATCTTATTCATGCATTTACTCATCTGTATTCATTCTTACCTTAAATAAAGATGGTTCTTGAAATTCAGCCCCTATGTCTTATTTTGGCTTTTACTACCAACCAGAGCAATTTAAACCACTATTGAAATTTCAGCTGTCACAATTCTTTGATGTGAAACCACATTTCTAATTCTGACCCCTCTGCTGAGATCCCATCATGCATTTTCAATTGCATGTGGATACTTTCATATTCTTGTCTAAATTCCAACATGCCCAAATCCAAATATATACTATTTCTCCCCCAAATTCACAATTTTTACATGTGTGTGTCTATAGAACTGAAATTCTTTGGAGAAGATGTGTTTGATGGTTTTCACACTGCTGATAAATACATACCCAAGACTGGATAATTTATAAAGAAAAAGAGGTTTAATGGACTCAGAGTTCCATGTGGCTTGGGAGGCCTCACAATCATGGTAGAAGGTGAAAGGCACATCTTAAATGGTGGCAGACATGAGAGAATGAGAACCAAGTGAAAGGGGGAACCATTTATAAAAACATCAGCTCTCATGAGACTTATTCAATACCATGAGAACAGTATGGAGGAACCGCCCCTATGATTCAATTATTCCTACCAGGTTCCTTCCACAACACGTGCAAGTTATGGGAACTACAATTCAAGATGATATTTGGGTGGGGACACAGCCAAACCATATCATTCCACCTCTGGCCCCTCCAAAATTTTATGTCCTCACATTTCAAAATCAATTATGCCTTCCTAACAATCCCCCAAACTCTTAACTCATTTCAGTATTAACTCAAAAGTCCATAGTCCAAAGTCTTATCTGATATAAGGCAAGTCCCTTCCACCTATGAGCCTATAAAATCGAAAGCAAGTTAGTTACTTCCTAAATACAGTGGGGGTGCAGTCATTGGACAAATACACCCATTCCAAATGGGAGAAATTGGCCAAAATGAAGGGACTAAAAGCCCCATGCAAGTTTGAAATCCAGTGGGTCATTCAAATTTTAAAGCTCCAAAATGATCCCTTTGACTCCATGTCTCACATCCAAGTCACACTGATGCAAGAGGTGGGTTCCTATGGTCTTAGGCAGCTCCACTCCTGTGGCTTTGTAGAGCACAGACCCCCTCCTGGCTTCTTTCAAAGGTTGGGGTTGAGTGTCTGTGGCTTTTTCAGGTGCACAGTGCAAGCTGTCAGTGGATCTACTATTCTGGGATTTGGGGATGGTGGCCCTCTTCTTATAGTTCCATGAGGCAGTGTCCCAGTGGGGACTCTGTGTCAGGGCTTCAACTCCACATTTTCCTTACATACTGCCCTAGCAGAGGCTTTCCATGAGGGCCCTGCACCTGCAACAAACTTCTGTCTGGACACCTAGGCATTTTCATAAATTTTCTGAAATCTAGGTGGAGATTCCCAAACCTCAATTCTTGACTCCTGTGTACCCACAGGGTCAACACCATGTGGCAGCTACCAAGGGATACAGCTTACACTCTCTGAAGTCATGGCCCAAGCTGTATCATAGCCCCTTTTAGCCATGGCTAGAGTGGCTGGTACTCAAGGCACCAAGTTCCTAGGCTGCACGAAGCAGGGGGACCTTGGATCTGGCCCACAAAGCCATTTTTCCCCTAAGCCTCTGGGCCTGTGGAGTTTCCACAATGTTCTCTGACATGCCCTGGAGATATTTTCCCAATTGTCTTGGTGATGAACATTTGGCTCATCATTACTTATACAAATTTCTGCAGCCAGCTTGAATTTCTACACAAAAAATTGTTTTTTCTTTTCTAGCACATCGTCTGGCTGCAAATTTTCCAAACTTTTATGCTTTGTTTCAGTTTTGGAACTGAATACTTTTAACAGCACCCAAGTCACCTCTTGATTGCTTTGCTGGTTAGAAATTTCCTCTGCCTACCTTTACTACAATTTCCAAAAAGGTCCTGATCTCCATCTGAGACCACCTCAGTCTGGATTTTATTGTCCATATTATTATCAGTATTTTGGCCAAAGCCATTCAACAAGTCTCTAAGAAGTACCAAACTTATCCACTTTTTCCTATCTTCCTATGAGCCCTCCAAACTGTTCCAACCTCTGCATGTTACCCTGTTTCAAAGTTGCTTCCACATTTTTGGGTATCTTCACAGCAGCACCTCACTCCTGGTACCAATTTACTGTATTAGTCTGCTATCATGCTGCTGATAAAGACATACCCAAGACTAGGTAAATTATAAAGAAAAACAGGCTCAATGGACTCACAGTTCCACATGGCTGGGATGGCCTCACAATCAGGGTGGAGGGCAAAAGGCTCATGTTACATGGTGGCAGGCAAGAGAGAATGAGGACCAAATAAAGAGGGTGAAATCCCTTATAAAAACATCAGCTCTCATGAGACTTATTCACTACCACAAGAATGGTATGGAGGAAACTGTCCCAATGATTCAATTATCTCCCACTGGTTCCTCCCCATAACACATGGGACTTATGGGAGCTACAATTCACGATGAGATTTGGGTGGGGACACAGCCAAACTATATCGGAAGGTTACAATAAGGTATTAAGGGTCTAACTGATATCACACTTATGGTATTTCAATTTTCCCTAGGGAAAAAAAAATTATGCAATAGGTAATATTATTCTCATTTTACAAATAAGGGATTTGAGGCTTAGAGAAATTTGGTAACTTGCTTTATTTCATATGACATTAGGCAGCAGATTCAGAGTTTGAAGTCAATTGTGCCCAACCCCAATCATGCTTAAAATCCTGGATTTTTTTTGAGGTTTTCCTTTTTTAGATTCATCTCATAAATTCACATTCAACAAATCTTAGGAAATCTAGCTCAAAATAGCTTCTATATTTATACCTCTGTCCCTATTTACATTGTGAGTTACTGCCAATTGCATATTCTAGGCCCTTATTATTTCTTACCTTCATTACAACAATGCCCTGCCAACTCCTTTATCTTTTGTAGTCTCTTTACATTTCCAATCACACTTTTTATGATAACTAACATATTATAGAACACTCCACTATATAGGTAAATGCACTGCTACAAGTTGCCAGAAAAGGAAAAGCAGAAGATAGCATCACATTTAGGGTTATTCATGAGCTTTTTATCAAGCTAACTGTCCAAATTATATATTTTTATTTGTGCTTTTTTTCAACCCATATCCAGCTACTTGCATGACTCCAAATGTGATTTTCCCCTTTTCAATAATATATATTTGCTCATATATTTTTCTATTTTTAATGCCATTCTCTGTGTTAAAAACTGATACAATTCTAAAAATAGAGTCACGTATATATTGCCAGTTAATTTTATACAAAGTTAAGAGCAATTTCATGAAGAATGGACAGTCTTTTAACTAAGTTATGCTTGAAAAATTGGACAATCATATTCAATAAAAATAAAACAATACAAAATGCAACCTATATAAAAGATGACTCATAATGTTTTATAAACCTATATACAACACTGCAAACTATACAACTTCAAGAATAAAATATAATAGAAAAACTTAGCCTCATTGGGTTACGTATATATATACACATATATATATACATATATATACACATATATATATACATATATATACATATATATACATATATATATAATATTTTACCAAAAGTACAGTCACAGAAGAATAACACTAGATAAATTGGACATTATGGAAATTAAGAACTTCTGCTCTTCAAAATACACTGTTAAGGTAATGAAAAGAAAAATCACACTTTTTCTGGGAGAAAATATTTTAAGACCATATATCTGATAAGAGACATATAACCAGAATGTATAAAGGACATTCAAATCTCAGTAATGTGTAAACAGCAATCCTTCAAAAAAGGACAAAATATATTTTATTAGTCTGTTCTCACACCACTAGTAAAGGCATACCAGTGACAGGGTAATTTATAAAGGACAGAAGTTTAATGGACTCAGTTCCACATGGCTGAAGAGACCCTATAATCATGGCAGAAGGCAAATAAGAAGCAAAGGCACATCATTCATGGTGGCAGACAAGAGAATGTGTGCAGGAGAACTGCCCTTTATCAAACCATCAGAGCTCATGAAAATTATTCACTATCATGAAAACAGCATGGGAAAATGATGATTGCCTCCCAACTGGTTCCTCCCACAACATGTGGGGATTTTGGGAGCTACAATTCAAAATGAGATTTGGATAGGGACAAAGCAAAACCATATCATTCCACACTTGGCTTCCCCCAAATCACATGTTCTCACATTCCAAAACCAATCATGCCTTCCCAACAGTCTCCCAAAGTCTTAACTCATTTCAACATTAACTCAAAAGTCCAAAGTCTCATCTGAGAAAAGGCAAGTCCCTTCCACTTATGAGCCTGTAAAATCAAAAGCAAGATAGTTACTTCCTGGATATAATGTGGATACAGGCATTTGGTAAATACACCCATTCCAAATGGAAGAAAGTGACCAAAACAAAGGGTCTACAGGCCCCATGCGAGTCCAAAATCCGATAGGGCAGACATTAAACTGTAAAGGTCCAAAATGATCCCTTTGACTCCATGTCTCACATCCAGAGCACACTGATGCAAGGGGTAGGCTCCCACAGCCTTGGGCAGTTACACCCCTGTAACTTTGCAGGTCCTCCCAGCTGCTTTCATGTGCTGGCATTGAGTTTCTGCAGCTTGTCCAGGCACATAGTGCAAACTATTGGTGGATCTATCATTCTGGGGTCTGGAGGACAGTAGCCCTCTTCTCATAGCTCCACTAGGCAGTGCCCCAGTGGGGACTCTGTGTGGGGCCTTCAACCCCACAGTTTTCATCTGCACTGCCCTAGCAGATGTTCTCCATGAGGGACCCGTTTCTGCACCAAACTTCTGCCTGGACATCCAGGTGTTTCCACACATCCTCTGAAATCTAGGTGGAGGTTCCCAAAGTTCAAATTTTTATTTTTATGCACCGGAATGCTCAACACCATGTGAAAACTGCCAAACCTTGGGGCTTGCATCCTCTGAAGCCACAGCCCAAGTGATACTCTGGACCCTTTTAGCCACCATTGGAGCAACTGAGATGCAAGGCAACAGGCCCCTAAGGATGCACACAGCAGGGTGGCCCTGGGCCTGGCCCTCAAAACAATTTTTCCCTCCTAGGCCTCCAGGCCTGTGATGGGAGGGATTGCCACGAAGGTCTCTGACATGACCTGGAGACATTTTCTCCATTGTCTTGGTGATCAACATTTTATGCTCCACTTTCTCTTCAATGCTTTGCTGCTTAGAAATTTCTTGCACCAGATCCCCTAAGTTATCTCTCTCAAGTTCAAAGGTCCACAGATCTGTATGGTGGGGGCCAAATACCACCAGTCTCTTTGCATAGCAAAAGTGATCTTTACTCCAGTTTCCAACAAGTTCCTCATCTCCATCTGAGACCACCTCAGCCTGGACCTTATTGTCCATATCACTATCAGCATTTTGGTCAAACCCATTCAACAAGTCTCTAGGAAGTTTCAAACTTTCCCACATCTTCCTGTCTTCTGAACTCTCCAAGTTTCTAGAAGTTCCAAACTTTCCTAAATTTTCCTATCTTCTTCTGAGACCTCCAAACTGTTTCAACCTCTGACTGTTGACCAGTTCCAAAGTTGCTTCCACATTTTAGGATATCTTTATAGCAGTGTCCCACTCTCTGCTGTACCAATCTACTGTATCGGTCTGTTCTCATGCTGTTAATAAAGACATACCCAAGACTGGATAATTTATAAAGGAAAGAGGTTTAATGTACTCACAGTTTCACATGGCTAGGGAGGCCTCACAATCATGGCAGAACACAAAAGGAGAAGCAAAGGCACATCTTACCTGGTGGCAGGCAAGAGAGCATGTGCAGGGGAACTGCCCTTTATAAAACCACCAGATCTCATGAGACTTAGCCACTATCACAAGAACAGCACGGGAAAAATCCACCCCTGTGATTCAATTACCTTTCACTGGGTCCCTTCCATGACATGTGAGGATTATGGGGGCTACAAATCAGGATGAGATTTGGGTAGGGACACAGTGAAACTATATCACATATGAAAGGATGCTTGACTAAATTAAATATACACATGGCTAATGAGAATGTGAAAAGATTAACCCCATTATTCATTATGGAAGGGAATGGAGAAAAATATGAAATTTCTCCATGCACATATTATAATGGCAAAAACATTTTTTTAAATGACATACTAAGTGTTGATGAAGAGATAGAGCAACTGGAGCTCTCACATATTGTTGGTAGGAAAGCATTAAGTGTATAATTAACATTCTAACTAGGTACTTAACAGTTTTCTCAATGTTAATTATACACTTAAAATGTTACCTGGTAATCTTACTGCTAGGTTTTTTCCTGTGTGAAATAAGATCTTAAATACACACACACACACACACACACACACACACACACAGTAAAAGAATTTTTACAACTGATATATTTATAATTTCCAGAAAACAGAAAGAACAAATTTCCTTGTAATGGGTTAATAAAGAAGCAGGCTACAGTACAACTATCTATATAACATAATACTACTTGGCAATTACAAATGAATGAACTATGAATATACTCAAAAACATGGATGAATCTCAAATGTATTCTGTTAAGAAAAAATACATATAAGGGGTATATTACAAATAATTCCATTAATATGACATGCTTAAATAGACAAAATAATAGGGAGAAAAACCTGATGGGTGGTTGTCAGGGATTGGGAATAAGAATTGATGACAAACAGCATAATGAAATGTTTTACAGTAATGGAACAAATCTATATCTTGATTTTCCTGATGGTTATATAATTGACTATATTTGTCAATCACAGAACTCTATACTGAAATTGTACTGCTTGTAAAATGCAATGCCTCTTCAACCCCACACCCTCCAAAAAATACAAAATGAAAGAAAACTCAAAACTCTACCTAATAATCAGGCCAAGCTAAAGAAAAAACATATCCTTCATACATCATTTTCCAATACCAGTAATTAAGTTTAAAAAAAATTTTTTTAAATGTATATGGGTAAATAGTATGAGTATATGTATATAGGGTTCATGAGATGTTTTGATACAGATATGCAATGTAAAATAAGCACATTATGGAGAATGGGGTAAATATGCCCTCAAGCATTTATGAGTTACATACAATCAAATTACATTCTTTAAGTTATTCTAAAATATACAATTAGTATTGACTATAGTCATGCAAATGTGCTGACTTATTTATTCTACGTTTGGGTCTTATTTATTCTACGTTTTTGTACTCATTAGCCATCCTTACCTCCCTCTCAAACCCCTGCTACTCTTGCCAGACTATGGTAACTATCCTTTTACTTTCTATAACAATGAGCTCAATTGTTTTGACATTTAGAACCCATAAATAAGTGAAAACATGCAACGTTTGCCTTTCTGTACCTGGCTTGTTTCGATTAATGTAATGATCTCCATTTCCATTCATGTTGTTGCAAATGACTGGATTTTATCCTTTTTTATGGCTGAATAGTGCTCCATTTTGTATATGTACCACATTTTCTTTACTCATGCATCTGATGATGGACACTTAGGTTGCTTCCAAGTCTTAGCTATTGCAAACATTGCTGCAACAAATATAGGAGTGTGGATATCTCTGATATATTGATTTCCAATTTGGGGGCATATACTAAACAGTGCAACTACTGGATCATAAGGTAGCTCAATTTTTAGTTTTCTGAGAAACCTCCAAACTGTTCTCCATAATGGGTGTAATAATTTAAATTTCCACCAACATTGTAGATGCCGTTTTCTCCACATCATTGCCAGCATTTGTTATTAACTGTCTTTTGCATATCAGCCATTTTAAATGGGGTGAGATGATAACTCATTGTAGTTTTGATTAGCATTTATTGGATGTGCAGTAATGTTGAACACCTTTTCATATGCCTGTTTGCCATTTGTATGTCTTTCTCTGAGAAAAGACTATTAAAATCTTTTGCCTATTTTTAAATCAGTTTATCAGATTTTTTCCTATAGAGTTGTTTGTGTTCCTTATATATTCTGGTTATTAATCCCTTGTCAGATGGGTAGTTTGCAAATATTTTCTCCTATTCTGTGGATTGTCTCTTCACTTTGTTAATTGTTTTTTTTTGCTGTGCAGAAGCTTTTCCATTTGATGTGATTCCATTTGTCCATGTTTGGTTTGCTTACCTGTGCTTGTAGAAACCTTTGCCCAGACCGATGTCCTGGAGACTTTCCGCAATATTTCCTTGCAGGAGTTTCATAGTTTGAGATCTTATATTAGAGTCTTTAATCTATTTTGATTTAATTTTTATATAGTGAAAAATAAGGGCCTAGTTTTGTTCTTTTATCTATGAATATCCAGTTTTCCCAGCACCATTTATTGATGAGATTATCTTTTCCCCTATGTATATTCTTGGCATCTTTGTCAAAAATGAATTCACTTTGGGTGTATAAATTTGTTTCTGTGTTCTCTATTCTGTTCCATTGGTCTATGTGTCTGTTTTTATATCAGTACCAAGTTGTTTTGGTTACTATAGCTCTGTAGTACCATTTGAAGTCAGGTAATGTAATTCCTCCAGTTTTGTCCATTTTGCTTAGGACAGCTTTGGCTATACTGGGTCTTTTGTGGTTCCATATAAATTTTAACATTTTTTCTAATTCTGTGAAGAATGTCATTGGTATTTTGATAGGCATTGCATTGAATCTGCAGATTGCTTTGGTAATATGTACATTTTAATAATATTGGTTTTTTAGTTCATTAGTATAGATGATTTTTTACTTTTTTGTTTCCTCTTCAATTTCTTTCATCATGGATTTATGGTTTTTGTTAAAAAGACCTTTCACTTATTTTGTTAATTTCTAGGTATTTAATTTTATGTGTGGCTATTGCAAATGAAATTACTTTTTTATTCTTTTTTCACATTGTTCACTGTTGGCATATAGAAATGGTACTGATTTTTGTGTGTTGATTATGTGCCCTGCAACTTGACTGAATTTGTTTATCAGTTCTAATAGTTTTCTTGTGGAGCTGTTCAGTTTTTTCAAATATAAGATCATATCATTAGCAGGCAGGGATAATGTGACTTATTCTTTTCCAGTTTGGATGCCCTTTATTTCTTTCTCTTTTCTGATTGCTCTAGGTAGGAACTCCAGCACTATGTTGAATAACAGTGTTGACAATGGGCATCTTTGTCATGTTCCACATCTTACAGGAAAGGATTTCACTTTTTCCTCATTCAGTATGATACTAGCTGTGGGTCTGTCATATATGGCATTTATTATGTTGAGATATGTCCCTTCTACACACAGTTTTTTAGGGTTTTTAATCATGAAGAGATATGAAATTTTATCAAATGTTTTTTAACATCAATTGAAATAATCATATGGATTTTGTCCTTCATTCTGTTTCTATGATGTATTACACTGATTGATTTGCCCCTGTTGGACCATCCTTGCATCCCAGGATTAAATCCCACTTGATCATAATGAATGATATTTCTAATGTATTGCTGAATTTTGTTTGCTAGTGTTTTGTTGAGGACATTTACATCAACATTCTTCAGAGATATTGGCCTGTAGTTTATTTTTCTGATGTGTCTTTGTCTGGTTTTGGTATCAGAGAAATACTGGCCTCATAGAATATGTTTGGAAGTATTCCCTTCTTCTCTATTTTTCAGAACAGTTTGAACAGGATTGGTTTTAGTTCTTCTTTAAATGTTTGGTAAAATTCATCAGTGAAGCCATTAGGTTCGAAGCTTTTTATTATGAGAAAACTTTTTATTATGGCTTTCATATCATTGCTTGTGATGTATTGGTCTATTCAGGTTTTGTATGTCTTCCTGGTTTAAGCTTGGTAGGTGGTATGCATCTAGGAATTTGTCCATTTCTTCTAGATTTTTCAATTGGAATATAGTTGCTCATAGTAGCCTCTAATAATCTTTGAATTTCTGCAGTATCAGTTGTAATGTCTCCTTTTTAATTTCTGATTTTATTTATTTGGGTCTCCTCTTTTTTTTTTTCTTAGTTAGTCTGGCTATAAGTTTGTCAGTTGTGTTTAACTTTTCAAAAAACCAACTTTTTGTTTCATTTATCTTTTCTATTTTTTATTTTAATTTCACTTATTTCTGCTCTGATCTTTATTATTTCTTTTCTCCTACTAATTTGGGATTTGGTTTGCTCTGGCTTTTCTATTTATTTAAGGTGTGTCATTAGAATACTTACTTGGAATTTTTCCTCCTTTTGATGTAGACACTTAACCTATAAACTCCCCTCTTTGGTATTGTTTTTACTGTATCCCTTATCCCATATGTTTTGTTTTCATTATTATTTGTTTCAAGAACTTTTCAATTTCCTTCTTAATTTCTTCATTGAATCACTGGTCATTCAGGAGCATATTGCTTAATTTTCATTACTTGTATAATTTCAAAAATTCCTCTTGTTATTAATATCTAGTTTTATTGTGGTCAAAGAAGATACTTAATGTTACTTCAATATTTATGAATGTATTAAGACTTGTTTTGTGGCTTAAGATATGGTCTATCTTAGAATTATACATGTGCTGAGGAGAAGAATGTGTATTATTCAGCTGTTCAGTAAAATGTTCTGTAAATATCTATTAGGTCCATTTGTTCTGCAGTGCAGATTTGTCACAAATTTCTTTGTTGATTTTCTGTCTAAAAGGTCTGCCAAATGCTGAAAGTGAGGTATTGAAGTCTCCAGCTATTATTGTACTGAGGTCTATCTCTTTCTTTAGCTTTAATAATATTTTCTTTATATATCTTGGTGCTCCACTGTTGGGTCCATGTATATTTATAATTGTTATAGTCTCTTGCTGAATTGCCTTTATCATTACATAGTGATCTTCTTTGTATATTCTTACAGTGTTTGTCTTAAAATCTTTTTTGTCTAATGTAAGTATAGCAACTCCTATTTTTTTTAGTTTCCTTTGGCATGGAATATTTTTTTCCATCCCTTTATTTTTAGTCTACTTTTGTCTTTCCATGTAAAGTGTGTTTCTTTTAGAACTGATCAATGGGTCTTTTTTAAAATTTATTCAGCCACTCTATGTCTTTTGATTGGAGAGTTTAGTCCATTTACATTTAATGTTATTATTAATAAGAAAGAACTTACTCCTGCCATTTTGTTATTTGTTTCTGGATGTTTTGTGGTCTTCTCTTCCTTTCTTCTTTTATTCATGTCTTCCTCTAGTGAAGATATTAATGATATTCTCTGGTGATATGATTGACTTTCTTGCTTTTTATTTTTTGTGTATCTATTGTAGGTCTTTTTGGTTGGAGGTTACAAGGAGGCTTGCAAACACTATCTTATAACCCATTATTTTAACCTGATAAAAACTTAACATTATTTGCATAAACAAACAAACAGAAAGCTAATAAAACATTACCTTAACTTTGTTGCCCTGCTTTTTATCTTTTTGATGTTTTTATTTATACCTTACTGTAATGACTATGTCTTGAAAAGGTGCTGTAGTTATTATTTTTGATTGGTTCATTGTTCAGTCTTTCTAGTTAGCCTAAGAGTAGTTTACACACCACAGTTACAGACTTGTAATAGGCTATACTTGTTTGTGTACCTACTATTACCAGGAAGTTTTGTAGCTTCAGATGATTATTTATTGCTAATTAGTGATTTTTTTTCTTTCTGATCAAAGTACTCCCCTTAGCATTTCTTGTAGAATGTGTGTGGTGTTGACAAAATCTTTCAGATTTGTCTATCTGGGAAAATCTTTATTTATTTTTCATGTTTCAAGAATATTTTCACCAGATATACTATTCTAAGATAGAATATTATTTTTTCTTTAACACTTTAAATATGTTATGTCACTCTCTCCTGGCCTGTGAGGTTTCCAATAAAAAAGTCAGCTGTCCTGCTGCCAGATTTGTTGGAGCTCCATTATATGTCATTTGTTTCTTTTCTCTTGCTGCTTTTAGGATCCTTGACCTTCAGGAGTCTATTAAATTTCTTGAGGTAGTATTGTTTGTGTTAAATCTGCTTGGTGTTTTATGACCTTCTTGTACTTGGATATTGATATCTTTCTCTAGTTTTGGGACATTCTCTGTTATTATCTCTTTGAATAAACTTTCTACCCTACCTTTTTCTCTATCTCCACTTTAAGGCCAATAACTCTTAGATTTGCCTGTTTGAGGCACTTTTCTAGATTCTGTAGCGGTGCTTCATTTTTTTATTTTGTTTGTTTTGTTCTTGTTTTGTCTCATCTGACTGTGTGTTTTCAAATAGCTTGTCTTCAAGCTTAATAATTCTGTCTTCTGCTTTTTCCATTCTTCTATTAAAGGACTCTGATGCATTCTTCAGTATGCCAATTACATTTTTTCAGCTACAGAATTTCTGCTTTTTTTAAAAAAATATTTGAATCTATTTGTTAAATATATCTGATAGAAATCTGAATTCCTTCTCTGTGTTATGTTGAATCTCTTTGAGTTTCCTTAACACAGTTATTTTGAATTCTTTTCTGAAAAGTCACATATCTCTATTTCTCGAGGATTGTTCCCCAGTGCCTTATTTAGTTCAATTGTTGCAGTCTTGTTTTCCTGGATGGTATTGATGCTAGTAGATGTTTCTTCGGTGTTTGGACATTGAGGAACTATTTCTTGTAGTCTTCACTGTTTGGGCTTACTTGTAGCCATCCTTCTTGGGAAGGCTTAAGTTATTTGAAAGAACTTGGATGTTTTTATCTAAGCTGTTTCTGCTTTGGGGGCATTCCAAGCTAAGTGATGCTGTGGTTCTTGCAGACCCATAGAGATGCTGCCTTGATCATCTTGGAACAGATCAGAAAGAATTCTCTGAATTATTAAGCAGAGACTCTTGTTCTTTTCCCTTACTTTCTCCCAAACATACAGAGTCTCTGCCTCTGTTGTGAGCCCCCAAAGCTGGGGGTGGAGTGACACAAGCATCCCTGTGCCCAACACCACAATGACTGTGCTGGGTCTTGCCCAAGGCCTGCTGTAACCACCCCCTGGCTACTGCCTATGTTTGCTGAAGGCGCTGGGACTCTATAATCAGCAGGTGGCAAAGCCATCCAAGCCTGTGTCATTCCCTTCAGAGGTCCCCAAGACCCAGGTGAGTTCAGAAGTGCCATTTCAAAGTCAGGGTCTAGAGTCAAAAACCTTAGTAGTGTACCTGGTATTCTATTGTATTGCAGCTGAGGTGGCATTCAAACCACAAGACGCAGTTCTTCCCACTCTTTCCTCCCCTTTCCAAAGGCAGAGGAGCCTCACCCTGTATCCACTGCCACCTCTGATAAAGAGGAGTACTGACAGAGTACCACTGATGTTTTCTTAAGGCCCAAGGCCTCTTAAGTCAATTTGTGGTGACTGCCCGGCATGGAGCTCACCCTTTAGGGAAGTGGGATGCCCTCTGTCCCGGGGAAAATCCAGAAATGCCATCTAAGAGTAAAGCTATAGAATCAGAGACCCCAAGAGACTATTCAGTACTTCCTGTGGCATTGTTGGTTCCTAAGATGCAAGACAAAGTTCCGTTTACTATTTTGTCTGCTTTCCTCAAGCAAAAGTTTTGCCCCATAGCCACCATAGCTGGTAATGTGCTGAGTCTCACCTGATGCCAGCAAATCTCAGAGGCTCACCAAGATATTTGATATAGTACCTGGATATAGCTACTGGTTATTCAGGGCCCAAGGGCTCTTCAGTTATCCATTGATAAATGCTGGCAGGACTGTGTTCTTTTTTCAAAGCAGTGGGTTCCCTTCTGCCCTGGGGTGTGTCTAGAAATGATACCTCTGAGCTAGGGCCTGGAATAGGGGCCTCTTGATTCTTACTGGTGCCCTATCCTGCTGTGGCTGAGCTGGTGTCCAAGATGCAAGACAAAGTCCTCCCCACTCTTCTCTCTGCTCTCCACGTGCAGAAGGGAGAGATATCTTTTATAACCATGAGCTGTGTAGCCTGAGATTAGGGGAGGGGTGTTGGCAGTCCTTCCTTGGCTGCCCCAGCTGGTGTCTCAGTATGTCACAATATTCCGCAGTCCACTGTCTGTGGGTCTAATTCAGCCCTAGGACTCATCTAAGAGTTGCAGTCGTTATGGCCTAGACTGTCTTTCAAATTTTCTTAGACACTGATAACACTTTGGCCCTTGGTGGTGAGGTTTGCAGGGTCTCATGTTCAGACCACTAGGATTGGCAATTCTCCTCTTGCTAGGGCTGGTTTAAGTGTCCCCTCTGTGGGTGGGCATTACTCTGAGGTTTTTTTTGTTTCGTGGTTTTTATTTTTATTTAATTAATTAATTAATTCATTTATTTGTTTGCTGCAACAGGACAACATTCAGTTTAATTCCTCACATTTGCTGTGTAATCCCTCCCCCAGCACCGAGAGATGCTCTCTTCACCAAGCTACGGCTACTTGGTGTAAGACTGCGATGACATTGGTGATTCAGGACTGTTTTTCTCTCCGTTCAGTGCCTCATTCAGTGATATGAAGTTAAAACCAAGTACTGTGAGTGCTTACCTGATTTTTGGTTCTTATTAAGGTGTTTTTTCTGCGTAAATAGTTGTTAACTTGGTGTCCCTGCAAGGGGGACAATTGCTGGAGGTTTCTATTTTGCCATCTTGATCCCAATCTCCTTAATTAATTTTAATTTAATTCCCCCTTCTGGCTTCTTAGCAATTTTTCTATACTTTTAGTGCCCCAAGGTGTTCTTTTTTTTTTGTACGAGAAATATGTCACACCTTTGTCATCAATTTATCCATCTTTTCCTCATCAAAATAAACATTTGTTTAGTGCCCACTCTGCCTCATACTGTATGATAACCTCTTGACATACAGTGATACGCAAGAGCAACAGGTCCATTTTATTTTATAGAGCTTATATTCCAATAAAATAAACAAAAAATAAATGAGCAACAAATAAATAAATAGGATAAATGCTTTCCAGGTCTTTATCCCATGGTCTTGGCTATTAGTTTTTTGCTCCCTTATAGTTATGAAAATTTCTCTAGCAAGTGCTTTCTCTGAAGCCTGCATGAATGCTTCTCCCCCCAAAAAAGCTTTTCCTTTCTTTGTTACATGGCCTGGTGGTAAATTTTCCAAATGTTTTTGTTGCAAATATACATTTGTAAACATAAATTTCAAATTTAAGCCATTTTTTTAATGCATTTGAGCATAGGCTGTTAGAAGCAGCTAGGCCACATCTTGAATGCTTTGCTGCTTAGAAATTTCTTCTGCCTCATACCCTAGGTAATCACTCTCAAGTTCAAACTTCCACTGATCCCTGGGTCATTAACAGAATGTCACCAAGCTCTTTGCTAAGGCAGACCTTTGCTCTAGTTTCCTATAAGTTCCTCATTTCCATCTGAGACCCTGCCAGCCGAGAATTCACTGTCCATATCACTATCAACAGTTTGTTTCCAATCATGTAACCAGTCCTTAAGAAGTTCCAAACTTTATCTCATTTTCTTTTTTTCTCCCGAGGCCTCATAACTCTTCCAACTTCTGCCTGTTATCCAGTTCTAAAGCTCCTTCCACATTTTCAGGTATCTTTTGGTACCAGTTTTCTTTAGTAGGCCATGTTTACATTGCCATAAAGGAATACTTGAGACTGGGTAATTTAAAGAAAAGAGATGTAATTGGCTCACATTTTTTGCAGGCTGTACAGAAAGCATAGTGGAAGCATCTTCTCAGCTTCTGGGAAGGCCTAGAGAGCTTTTACTCATAGTGGAAGGTAAAGCAGGGCAGGCATGTCATATGGTGAAAACAGGATCAAGAGGGAGTTGGAGAGGAGGTGCCATATACTGTCAACCAACCAGATATCAAGAGAACTTGCTATTGTGAGGACAGCACCAAGCCAGGGTGGATCCCTCCTCATGACCCAAACACCTCTTGCCAGGCCGCACATTTACACTGAGTATTATCATTTAACCTGATTAGGCAGGCACATATATTCAAACTACATTATCTACCTAGTATTTCTAAGACCCCAAATTAGAATAAGAAGTTTTTAGTTTTAATTCATCTCACAGAGCACTTTGTCTCATTAATTCTACAGATCTAAGGAAAGACATAGAATTTCATATTTCAAATAATAGGTATCTTTCAGTCAGGATGGTTTTTCTTAAAGGAGTAAACATTCCTGCCCTTTGAAAAACAGCAAGACTCCCTTTATCTTCCTGTGACATTGCTTTCGATGGCTTGAAAATCTCTGTGGCATAAAAGTGGAAATGTGTTGTAGATAATGATCCATGAAAAGTGGATTCACTTATTCTTAGTATGCTGCCATATTTTAAAATGTCACATATTTCAAAGTAGTTATTAAAATTTGTCATTATCTTTGTAAAAATATACTTAGCCCACTAACACTTGTTTCTCTCTATTACTTCAGGAACAACTTGTGCATTCATAGAAATATAAAATAGTAATCTTACATAATGAGATTTATCTCATTCTGACTTGGCCATTGGGAGCTTTGTGCTATTTCCAGTTTTACTTTCTTATGTAATGAGTCGTCAACATTCCTGGAATACTTTAATTGTTATTGTTCTGGGTAGGAGGAGAAAATGTTCTAGGAGTGTTTTCATGATTAAAAGAAGTATTTTACATTCATTGAAATTATTTAACACTTTAATTTTATGAAATTTTAATATATTTCTTTGCAGGACTTGATACATCAGCAATGTGAATGATCATATAAAATTAAGAGGGTTTGGAAGGCCCAACTGTTTAAAATTGTTTATGCATCTCTCCATCACCACCACCACTCACAGAAATAACTTCATTAGGTAGTGAAGGCCTTTTGCCTTTTCTCATTTCTAATATATATGTAAATATCATTCAGAAGAATCTCAAATACTGCCTATTATTATCTAATAACCTAGCAAGTCTCCTGCTCAATCATGAAGTAATCACTTGAGGAAGTGTTGTGTAACCAATATGATAAATAATATGATGCATATATAATAGGAACTAATATCTGAGGACTAAATTGACTAAAATGACTTCAGTTTTGAACAGAAATCCAACAGAATACTTTGGCTTGCAATAGACCCATAAAAGGATTTATGATTCTGTACTCGTGATAATTTTAAATTTGGTTTAAACGTTACATATTTTTTACTAATACAAATAACACAGATTTACAGCACACAATTTGTTAAATATGGCACTATGCAGAAATATCTATATTTTGCTTTATTTCTACTCTAGTCTGAATATGTCCTCCATAATTCATATGTTGAAACTTAATCAACAATGTGGTAGTATTAATAGGTGGGTGCTTAAGTTACAAGGTGATTAAGTCACGTGGGTGGAGCCTTCATGCATGGGATTGGGGCCCTTACAAAAGGTTTTCAGAGAGTAGATTCTTTTTCCTTTCGCTCTTCCACCTTCTTCCCTTTGGGGACACAGCAAGAAGGTTCTCACAAGACGTCAAATAACAGCTCCTTAATACTGGACTTCCCAGTCTCCAGAACTGAAAGAAATGAAGTTCTGTTATTTATAAATTCCTGAGTCTCAGGTATTTTGTTATAGAACACAAATGTACTAAGATAGTTCCCTTTTACAAGTAACATACTTCTGTATCTATACACATACAGGTATCCATCACAATCTCAATTCACATTATGTGAATTTAAGAACTGAAAAGATTTGTAGCATTCCTATATCCATGTTTATCTTTGAAAATCAACATCAGTTTACTAATTGAGGTCTGAAAGACATATACTTTCTGTTTATTTTATTTAAATGAACTTAATTATACACTAAATTTCCTATTTTTGTAGACCAATAGAAAATTAAACCTCAGGGCTGGGCATGATGGCTCACACCTGTTATCCCAGCACTCTGGGAGGCCAAGGTGAGAAGATCTTTTGAGGTCAGGAGTTTGAGACTAGACTGAAAAATATAACAAAACCCTGTCTCTAAAAATAAAAATGTCAAAAGTTAGCTAGGTGTGGTGGCACAAACCCGTAGTCTGAATTATTCAGGTGCCTGAGGCAGGAGAATTGCTTTGGTTTAGAAGTTTGAGGTTGCAGTGAGCTATGATTCGGCCACTTCAATCCAGCCTGGATGACAGAGCAAGACTATGACTTTAAAAAACAAGAGAGGGAAAAATAAAAATAAAAATATATCTCATTCTTTCCTGAGGATATCTTACCAAGGTTGTATGTCTCTGCACAATCCGCACATAGAGTTTTATGTTTTTGTAGTCATATCAAACAATCTTATATTTTATTAGTTTTATTTTTAGTGTTTTGCATAAAAATAACCACTCCCAAAAAGATAATATGCATTTGTATTTGATGCAGGTCATATATAAAACATATCATTATATTAAATAATTATACTTCGTTCTATAATAGTTCTGGACACTCTGTTTTGTTTAATCTTTCTATATATCCTTGATCATCTTGTTTAATGGTACATTTTCAGAACTCTTGACACAACCATCATTAAATACGTTTCTATGTAAACATTTTCTTTGTTGTTATTCTATTTATGGTTTCCAGAAAACTTGGGAATTATATTTGCAAGTTTTTAAATAAAATTACTCAATTTGAAGTATATTATAATAATTGTATTTAGGCAAGAATTGACATCATAATATGCAGTTTTCACTCAGGAACTTAGAAGGACTCTCAATTTTATTTTTATAGTACTTACATATTTATAGTTAATTATATTATAAAATGTTCACATTTGCAATAAAATGTCAATGATATTTTTATAATTACACTCTCTAAAGAATTTATTTTATATACAGAATTGTATTTTTTGTATTTATGCATAACTTTCTAATTAGACTCATACTTCAAATAGATTTTGTCATCTCTCATATTATAAATATAACAATTAATCATCTCATGTTATTTTTGTCCACTTGGTTGATGTTGTTTGTGGGTTTCTGCTAGTGGTGTGGGGGATATTTCCCATAATCCAGAATGATATTTCTTTGGCCCAGCTTCAAACATGCAGGAAAATGAACGACAAAATAGAAAGAATCAGGTTCTCTAAATTAATGCATAAACAAAGTGCATAATCAATATGAACATTACACTTCCACATGTTTGGATGACACTGTAACATTTTCAAGTGGTTGTATTAGGGCACAAATTTTTATCCCTATAAAAATATAATTATCTCGAGCCACTTGATTATCCCCAGTGACATAAATTACATTCTATGAGCAATTATATTTTTAATAAATATTAAAATTAATTATCAATATAGTGATCTGCTTCCAGCAGGTATGCTAATTCCTAGAATATTCAAGTATGCCAATTTTCCTGAATCTACTTTAGCAAAGTAAATTTTCTGAGAAAATTGTACACAGATTTCCCAGTTTACATAACAATTTTATAATACTACTATTGTTAATAATCCTCTTGTTTACCTATAGTTTACTGTTTTCATCCCTGATATTGTAAATTGTTTCTTCATATAAAATTGACAAGATATTTAGCTGTTGTATTAGTCCATTCTCACGCTGCTATAAAGAACTGCCTGAGACTGGGTAATTTATAAAGAAAGGGTGTTTAATTGATTCACAGTTCCAGAAGGCTGGGGAAGCCTCAGGTAACTTACAATCATGTTAGAAGGGGAAGCAAACACATCCTTCTTCACGTGGCAACAGGAAAAAGAAGTGCTGAGCAAAAGAAGAAAAACCCTTCATAAAACCATTGGATCTTGTGAGAAGTCACTCAGTATCACAAGAACAGCATGGAGGTAAGTGCCCCCATGATTCAATTATCTGCCACTGACATGTGAAGATTATGAGAACTACAATTCAAGATGAGATTTGAGTGGGGACACCATCAAACCATATCATTCTGTCCTTGGCTCCTTCCAAGTCTTATGTCTTCACATTTCAAAACACAATCATGCCTTTCCAATAGTCCACTAACCCGAATGTCCAAGTCCAAAGTCTCACATGAGACAAAACAATTTACTTCTGCCTTTGAGCCTGTAAAATCAAAAGCATGTTAGTTGCTTCCTAGATAAAATAGGAATACAGGAATTGGGTAAATATACCCATTACAAATGGGAGAAAGTGGCCAAAGTGAAGGGTCCACAGGCCCCAATGCAAGTCCAAAATCCAGTGGGACAGGCAAATCTTAAAACTCCAAAATGATCTTCTTTGACTCAATGTCTCACATCCAGGTCACACTAAGGCAAGAGGTTGGCTCCCACAGCCTTGGGCAGCTCTGCCCCTGTGGCTTTGCAGGGCACATCTCCCCTCCCAGCTGCTTTCACAAGCTGGCATTGAGTGTCTTTGGCTTTTCCAGGCACACAGTGCAAGCTGTCGGTGGATCTACCATTCTGCAATCTAGAGGATGATGGCCATCTTCTCCAGTAGGTAGTGTCCCAGTGAGGACTCTATGTCGGGGCTCCAACCCCTACATTTTTCTTCCACACTGCCCTAGCAGAGGTTCTCCATGAGGGCTCTGCTCCTCAAGTAAACTTCTGCCTAGATATCCAGGCATTTCCATACATCCTCTGAAATCTAGGTGGGGGTTCCCAAACCTTAATTCTTGTCTTCTGTACACTCACAGGCCCAACACCAAGTGTAAGCCACCAAGGCTTGAGGCTTGCACCATCTGAAACAACAGCCTGAGCTGTACCTTGGCCCCTTGTAGCCACGGCTGAGATGCAGGGCACCAAGTCCCAAAGCTTCACAAAGCAGCAAGGCCCTGGACCCAGCCCATGAAACCATTCTTTCCTTCTAGGCCTCCAGGCCTGTGATTGGAGGGGCTGCCATGAAGGTCTCTTACATGCCTCAGAAACATTTTCCCCATTGTCTTGGCAATTAGCATTTGGCTCCTCATTACATAAGCAAATTTTTGCAGCCAGATTGAATTTCTCCTCAGAAATAGGGTTTTCTTTTCTATTGCATTGTCAGGCTGCAAATTGTCTGAACTTTTATGCTCTACTTTCTCTTGAATGCTTTGCTGCTTATAAGTTTCTTCCACAAGATACCCTAAGCCATCTTTCTCAAAGTCAAAATTCCATAGAACTGTAAGGCAGGGGCCAAATGCCACCAGTCTCTTTACATAGCAGGAATGACCTTTACTCCAGTTCCCAACAAGTTTCTCATCTCCATCTGAGACCACCTCAGACTGGACTTTATTGTCCATATCAGTATAATCATTTGGTCAAAGCCACTCAACAAGTCTACAGGAATTTCCAAACTTTCCCACATCTTTCTGTCTTCTAAGTCCTCCAAGTGTCTAGGAACTTCCAAACTTTCCCACATTTTTCTGTCTTCTTCTAAGGTAACAAAACTATTCCAACCTCTGCCTGTTACCCAGTTTCGAAATCTCTTCCAAATTTTCAGGTATTTTTATAGCAGCACTCCACTCTCTGTGGTACCAATTTACTGTATTAGGCTGTTCTCCCACTGCCATAAAAAAAATGTCTGAGACTGGGTAATTTATAAAGGAAAGAGGTTTAATTGACTCACAGTTTCAGGGCTGGAGAGGCCTCAGGAAACTTACAATCATGGCAGAAGGGGAAGCAAATGCATCCTTCTTCACATGGAGGCAGGAAGGAGAAATACTGAGCAAAAGTGGAAAAGCCCCTTATAAAACCATCAGATCTCATGTGAACTCACTCACTATCACAAGAACAGTGTGAAGGTAACCACCCTCATGATTCAATTACCTTCCCCTAGGTCACTCCTATGCCAGTTGGGGATTATGGGAACTACAATTCAAGATGAGATTTGGGTGGGGACACAGCCAAACCATATCAGCTGTGTATTTGATTTTTTTCATAATATACTTTGGATTATTATAATCTGCAGTTTGGCTTCTACTGTTATCTATTTTCTTATTTTGTTAGATATACTAATCATTTCTTACATTACCTTTTACTGTATTTTACTGTTATAATCTGAGCTCTTGAATTTAATATTTTATTTAGTTTCATACTTTGTTGACATAATGAAAAGATGTAAATCTGTGAATTTCCTTATGGGCAAAATTTTGATTTTGTCTTATATATTTTGATATTCACTGTTATGACTATTTTTTAAAGCAATACATTTAAGCAAGTAATTTTGGAGATTGTTTTCAAATTTGTTGCTTATTTATTTAGTTTTGTTATTAGTTTCAAGATGTATTGTATTGTGTTCATTAAGTGTCCTTCATAACCTTTCTGTATTATTGTATTTTACTATAAGCTTGGTAAAAAGTAACTATTAGTATATACCCTTTAAGTATATATATAAAATTTATGGTTTGTGGGTAGGCTGTTTGACTTTAATCTATATCATATACTATTCTAAGATCACCTCTGAAATATTATTTTTATAATTTTTCTGTAAAAAAAGTAATCTGAAATTTACATTTTTATATAATTATAATTAGGCATTCAAATTTATAATTGTAACATAGATTATATCTAGGTTTGCTATCAACATTTTTGAAATAAATCAACCTTCATCTAATAAATTTAAATTCTAATATTTTAATATATTTATTATATATTGTAATTTTTGTAAGCTATCCAATGATCCGCACATGTATTTATCTATCCATTTCAGCAAAAAAAAGAGAGAAGACACAAGTAGCATTGGCATCTTTTATTGATCGAAGTCAATACTTCATAAAATCAATGAGTACCATTCATTAGTGTGTCTATGCATATCTGCAATTATGTCTTTGTGTAGATGTTTGTTGCCTTATTTTATATTTTATTTGCTCAAAATATATAAGTGAATCATTTTTGCACCTAGAAAACATCTTAAAAACATAGTTGAGCATTCATTGTGAAACCTATAAGAATTAGGAGTTGGGGCATTGTAAAGTAGAAATGGACAAAAGAAAAAAAGAACTAACAAGCTGTCTCAAATATGAAATTTTACAAAAGGTAGAGAAAGTGTTGCCTGGGCATTTCCTGATTGTATGGCTCTCATTTATGAACTTCTTGATGCTTAGTGTGCACTTCACAATTTAGAATTTGGTTACATTTGAGCCATGCTTGCATGTATTTTTATGAACTCTCCAGACATTGCATCTTGTGGAGTGGTATTTTTGCCAACATATTAACTTCCAACATCCAGTGCTGTTGTAATTATTTGTAATTTAGGATTGGTATACAGAACGTTTACAATAAAGTTAACTATATATTAAACTAATTATTAAATAATACATATTTCAAATGTAAAACACATAACACCTTAATGTGGAAGCTGAAATTTCTTCTTTTGTAATTTCCTATCTAAATGAACATCACCCCATGTATGATTTTAATGGAATGAGTTACCCTCTGGATTCTCCTTTTCATTCCTACATTTGTTGGTGTTAAATTTAATCATTCTGTAAAAGTTAACATTATTTTTATATGTATGTTTGGACCCCTGGGTTATCATAAAATATGATATTCACATTTTATAACTTTTTGCAAATCAAACACATACTTTCATTCCTTTTATACAAGGTTATTTGCATTTTCTTTCTTCTTTTTTTTTGAGACAGGGCTTCACTCTTTTGCCTAGGCTGGACTATAGTGGCATGGTCTTGGCTCACTGCTACCTCCACCTCCCAGGCTCAAGCAATCCTCCCACCTCAGCCTAATAGGTAGCTGGGACAACAGGCATGAACAACCAACCACTCCTGGATAATTTTTGTAGTTTTTTTGTAGAGACAAGGTTTTACTATATTGTTAAAGCTGGCCGTGGACTCCTGGACTCAAGCAATTAACCTGCCTTGGCCTCTCAAAGCACTGGGATTACAGACATGAGCCACTGTGCCCAGAAGTTTATTTCCATTTTCCTTTTTTTGAAATGGAGTTTTGCACTTGTTGCCCAGGCTGGAGTGCAATGGCACAATCTCAGCTCACTGAAACCTCCGCCTTCTAGGTTCAAGCGTTTCTTCTGCCTCAGCCTCCTGAGTAGCTGGGATTACAGGCATGTGCCACCACGCCTGACTAATTTTGTATTTTTTTTTAGTACAGATGGGGTTTCTCCATGTTGGTCAGGCTGGTCTCAACCTCCGAACCTCAGGTGATCTTCCTACCTTGGCCTCCCAAAGTTCTGGGATTACAGGCGTGAGACACCGCCTCCAGCCTTATGTGCATTTTCCTTGTGTATTCTGTCATAGTGGTAAATCTCCTCAAGTTCCTAAAAGTTTTCCTCCCTGTTGCAGAGCAGCAATTTTTGGTCTTCATTGATATATATATTTTTTCTAAAATAGTTTCTTGAGTATTGTTGTCTTGCATCTCTGCTGGTGATCCTCTCTGGCTAATTTGTCCTCTAATTTATTAGAATAAGCTAAAATATAGTCATATTTAACTCAAAAGTGCAAAGTCCAAAGTCTCATCTGAGATAAGGCAAGTCTCTTCCACCTGTGAGCATATAAAATAAAAAATAACTTAGTCACTTCTAAGATACAATGTTAGTACAGACATTGGGTAAACATTCCCATTTCAGAAGGGAGAAATCAGACAAAAAGAGGGACTACAGGCCCCATGCATGTCCAAAGCCCAGCAGGACAGTCATTAAATCTTCAAGCTCCAAAAGAATCTCCTTTGACTCCATGTCCCATATCCAGGGCAACTCGGTGCAAGGGGTGGGCTCCCAAAGGCTTGGGGAGCTCTGCCCCCGTCACTTTGCAGGGCTCAGCCCACATAGCTGCTCTCATAGGCTGGCGTTGAGTGCCTGTGGCTTTTCCAGACACACAGTGAAAGCTGCTGGTAGATCTATCATTCTGGGGTCTGGAGGATGGAGGCCTTCCTCTTGCACTTCCACTAGGCAGTGCCCCAGTGAAGACTCTGTGTGGGGGCTCCAACCTCACATTTTTCCTCTGCACTGCCCTAGTAGAGGTTCTCCATTAGGACCCTGCCCCTGCAGCAGGCTTCCTCCTAGACATCCAGGCTTTTCTATATATCATCTGAAATCTAGGCAGAGGCTCCTAAGTCTCACCTCCTGCATTTGGTGCACCCACAGGCTTAACACCACCTGAAAGCTGCCAAGGCTTAGGGCTTGCACCCTCTGAAGCAGAAACCTGAGCTCTACTTGGGTGCGTTTTACCTATAGCTGGAGCTGGAGGAGCTGCAATATAGTGAACAGTGGCCCAAGTATGTGCATTGCAGTGGGGCCCTGGGCCTGGTTCATGAAACCTTTCTTTCCTCTTAGACCTCTGGGCCTATGCTGGGAGGGGCTGCTGGGAAGGTCTCTGAAATGCCTTGAAGGCCTTCTCCCCATTGTCTTGGATATTAGCACTTGCCCTTTTTTTTGTTTTTAGTTATGCATATTTCTGCATGAATTTCTCCCCTGAAAATGGGCTTTTCTTTTCTACTACATGGCTAGGTTACAAATTTTCCAAATTTTTACACTCTGCTTCCCTTTTAAATATAAGTTCCAGTTTCAGAACATTTCTTTGCTCATGCATATGTGCATAGGGTGTTAGAAGTAGTCAGGTCACATCTTGCTTTGATGCTCAGAAATTTTTTCTGCCGTATACCCTAAATCATCTCTCTAAACTTCAAAGTTCCACAAATCCCTAGGGCAGGCACACAATTTAACCAAGCTCTTTTCTAAAGCATAACAAAAGTGAACTCTGCATTAGTTTACAATAAGTTCCTAATCTCCATCTTTGTCTTCCTCTGCCAGGCCTTCACCATTTTTATCACTACCAGCATTTTGGCCTTGATCATTCAACCAGTCTCTAGGAAGTTCCACAATTTCCCCTATTTTCCTGTCTTCATCTGAGCCCTCCAAACTCTTCCAACCTCTTCCCATTACCTAGTTTCAAAATTGCTTCCATATGTTCAGGTATGTCTTTAGAAATGCCTCACTCCTTGGTATCAGTTTTCTATAAGTCCATTCTTGTCCTGTTATAAAAAAAATCTGAACCCTGGTAATTTATAAAGAAAAGAGGTTTAGTTGGCTAAAGTTTCTGCAGGCTGTATAGGAAGCATGATGCTGGCATTTGTTTGGCTTCTGGAGAGGCCTTTACAGTCATCACAGAAGGTGAAGGGCAAGCAAGTATGTCTTATGTGGCTGGAGCAGTAGCAAGGGAGAAGAGAGTGGAGAGGAACTATGCACTTTCAAATGACCAGATCTCATGAGAACAAAATCAAGGGAGAAATCTGCCTCCACGATTTAATTACCTTCCCCTAGGCACCACCTCCAATATTTGGAAATACAATTCGACATGAGATTTGGGCAGGAACACAGATCCAAACCATATCTGTGTCACTTAGTGATTTCGGCAATTACTTGTTTTTTAATTAACCAGTTGAGTACCTTGGGACATAAATAAAATGGCATTGCTCTGAACTTGAATGCATATGCTATCTATCAAGAATCAGTATAAAATGACAAACACAGATTTTTGCAACATATTTGGTATAGAGAGCAATGCATTCAAAGATTTATTTATTTCTCGTATCTAGGTAAGTTCTTGTTTCAAACTGTTTTTGTCAAGCATATAGCAATGGAATTTAGAGCTCAACCAATAAAAATTAATGGCAGTACCTTATATCTACTTTTTCTATAAAATACATCATAAGAAAATATGCAATTATAGGACAGTTTATAAGTTAGAAAATAAATATTTTGACTTAGCTCTTGAATAGATCCATAACTGTGGAGTAGCTTCCCACACATTAAATTTTGTTTTTTAATCTCAGAACATGTTGATGGTGATAAATGTAAGTGTATTACTAAATAAAATGTGAAAATACTATGTCTCTTTTAAATTTTATGATGGTAAACTTAGAAGACTATGATGAGATTTCTATCAATTTATTATTACCTTTTCTTTAGAAAGTTGACTCTTACACCTGAAGACAACAACAACTTCTTGGTTTATGGCAAAATATCTTCTTAGCTTAGTATGAACTCAATTAATTTGTAGGAAGCTATCCTGCTGTGAAGTTATCAAAGGTGTTGGAACTAAGATTAGCATAAACTTCAAATTCAATTTAGATATTGATACATTAAATATTCATTATTACTGGATATATTTTATATAATCATCAATTAGGCATTTGCAAGAGCATAAGAGAAGTAATACTTTTACAAATAAATTTAAGTGGCAAAAACTAACATAATAAAGCATTAACAAAAAGATCTTTCAAAGGATATTGGTTTCATTATACTACATCTTAATCTTACTTGAATAAAGGCATATAGCTATATAATATTTTGTATTGCTTTTTTTTTTTTGCTTTTCTCTTAGATTATGTGGGTTATTACAATAAAATTAAAAGTGAAAAAAAAACATTTTTAACCTATCTGGTTTCGGCAAAGTGATGATAATATTGTTGATTTTTAAATCTCTAAAGTCCTCACAAACAATCTGAGCAAGTAATGTAACAAACAAACCAAAACCAAAAAACAAATACATAAAAGCAACTTTGCATATCACCTTTAATAACACTGGTAAAATACCAGGAATTCTGGAATATGAGTTAATCAACTACTAATGACTGCAATAAAAGTACAAGGATCAGTAGGTGGGCAGAAGCCAGTGGAGAGAGGGAAAAAATAATTCTGGGGATCTTAAGGGTCTTGAATATCATTATTGACAACAAGTCCTCAGCTTCAAAAGAAAAGAACTACAATGATGGTTTAACACTCAGCCAGCAGATCTGAGTACAAATGTTAAATCTGTCATACACAATTTAAAATATGTAAAAATTTAAATACTGACTACAGTATTACAAAAGGAGAGAGGTGATTAGGTATATTAAAGGAATTCTAAGGTCCTTTTGCTGTTTGGAAATTGGTAAATACATTAATATATTTTTATGGTATTAATAACAATAATTATTGTAATTACTAGGATAACTACCAGAAGAATAGTAAAAAGAATATAAGATTGGAAAGCTGATACAAAGAAAATGTGGAAAATAAAACAGTTGAAATTAATAAAACAAAGGAGGGGGAAAAGAGAATATAACACATGTAGGACAAATAGGAAATGAGTAGTAAGATGGTAGATGTAACGCCAAGTATATCAGTAGTTATGATACATAATAAATTGTCTAACAAATTCAATTAAAGGCAAATAATAGCATGTTATATTTTTTTAAATATCCAACTATATGCTGCACACAACAGGCTCACTTTAAATATGGAGAAACAAATTTTGAAAGCAAAAGAACAAAAAATCATACTATGAAATTATTACTATAGTAATTTTAGTAAAAGTACACTTTATAGAAGCAACATTACTAGAGAAAGAGAAAGATTTTGTCATGGAAGAAGGGTTAGACCCCAAGAAGGTATTTATATATACCACATAATATAGCCGCAAAATGTACAAAGCAAGATTGGACAAATGTACACTCATTGCATGAGGTTTAATTTCATTTTAACAGTTTTATTGAGCTTCATTTTAGAAATTATAAAATTCATTAGTTTTAAATATGTATTTGAAAGATTTTAGCCGCTTTACTGAGTCATAAAACCACCATCATAAATCTGTTTAGAACATTTTTATCCACTGAATAAGATTTCTCTTGTTCATTTTCAATTAATCCCTATTCCTATCCCCACACACAGGCAAACACTAATCTGTTTTTGTAAATGTCTTTCCTAGATATTTCATATAAATGGAATCTTACAACATGTGAGCTCTCGAATCTGGCTTCTCTTGCTCGGTGTAATGTTTTTAAAATTATTCCATGATGTAGCATGCATCAATATTTGTTCTGTTTTTACTGCTGAACAGCATTCAATTGTGTGACTATAAGTCATTTGGCTGTCTGCTCAATGGTTGATGAGCATTTGAGTTGTTTCTAGTTTTGAAAAATTATGAATTAATGCTGCTATGGACATGCATATACAAGTATTTGTGTAAATATATGTCTTTATTTTTCTAGATAGGAAAATAATTGCTGAGTATTATGGTAGTTTTATGTTTAATTTCTTAAGAAGTAAAATAGTTTGCAGAGTGGCTGTAACATTTACAGTCCTGTCAATAATATATGAAGACCTTCTTCTCCACACTCTCACCAGTATGCATTATGTCCTGTTACTGATTAAAGCCATTGTAATGAATGTGAAATAATATCTCATTTGGGTTTTAATCCGTATTGCCAAATGAATTGTGATATAGATATTTTTAATGTGTTTATTAGCCATTTGTGCATCAACTTTGGTAAACTGTCTATTTGAATCTTTTGCCCATTTTTTGATTAGGTTGTTCGTTTCTTAATATTCAGTTGTAAACATTTCTTGTAAATTATGAATAAAAGTCTTTAAGTAGTGTTTCATAAACATTCTTCCCAGGACTTTTTTGTACCTTTTTTTCTTTTTTTGGGGGGGAGGGGGAGATTACTATTTTTAAAATTTAATTACTAAAATCGGTAGATATTTGTGGCATAAAACATGATACTTTGAAATATGTTCACACTGCAGAATGGCTAAATAAAGCTAGTTAGTATATCTATTATATCACTTACTTACTTACCATATTTGGAGAATGCAACCATTTAAAATCTACTCTCAACTATGGTCACCATTTTTGTGGAATACATTGAACTTATTTCTCCTGCTAACTAAAATTTTGTATCATTTGACAAACATCTCCCACTCTCACCCCCTCCCAACACCTAACTCATGGTAACCACCATTTGACTCTCTGCTTCTATTAGTTTATTTTAGATTTCACATATAAATGAGATCATGCACTATTTGTCTTTCTGTGCTTGACTTATTTCACTTAACATCATGTCCTCCAGGTATATCCACGTTGTCACAGATGAGAGGATTTCCTTTTTTAAAGTCTGAATAGTATTCCATTTTTTATATATGACACATTATTCTTTATTTATCATCCCTTGATGGACATTTAGGTTGATTCCATAACCTGGCTACTGTTAGTAATGCTGCAATGAACATGGGAGTGCAAATATCACTTTGAAAACTTCATTTTATTTCTTTGGGACTGATATGCAGAAGTAGAGTTGGTGCATTATGTGGTAGCTCTAGTTTTAACATTTTTAAGAAACTCCATACTGTTTTTCATAATGGTTTTAAGCTTTTCTCCATTTGAAATTGACCCAATTTCCCCATGAAATTAATGTTTACTTTTTTTTATAAACATAGAAATTGACCATCTGTGGAGGAAGAGTTAAATATTAACTTTGAACTCAATTGAACTTGAACACAAAGAATGGTTACGTGCCAGTAAACAGCCCCTGGGCATCTGCCCAGGAGCTAGTAACCTATACTGATTGTTTTCGTAAGATACATTTTCTGCCTTAAGGCAAACAACAGAATCTAGAGAATAGGCTAACCTTCCTGTGTTCCCTGAGCCCAGTCATGAAGGGCCCTCATTCCTGGGCCTCAGGCCAAGAAAGGAATACTACAAAAGGGCTAGGGTCCCAGACCACACAGAAGCTCCATGAGACCTCTCCTCATCTGTGCATGGTCGAGTGACCAACTCTGGATCCCAGGCTATTGCTTCCCGATCTGGTGATGAATCCTCCATAGTCTAGTGAGTGTAACTATATATACATTTCCTTCTCCCCTTCCCATTGCAATTTGCTTATTATATAATTTGCTTATTATACCATTTTCTTATTATATCTGCATTGCCATTTACGTAGGATAAAGCATAGGATAAAGATTGTTTACCTTTAAAGGTATCGTGTATGTGTCTTTTCTTTCCCCTTCATGCATTTCCCACACAGAACACAATCACTATCCTAGTCCTCTTTTTTTTTTTTTTTTTTTTTTGAGACTGAGTTTAGCTTTTGTTGCCCAGGCTGGAGTGCAGTGGTGCAATCTTGGCTCACTGCAATCTCTCCCTCCTGGGTTCATGCGATTCTCCTGCCTCAGCCTCCCAAGTAGCTGGGATTACAGGCATGCACCACCAGGCCTGGCTAATTTTGTATTTTTAGTAGAGATGGCATTTCTCCATATTTCTCAGGCTGGTCTCGAACTCCCGACCTCAGGTAATCTGCCCACCTTGAACTCCCAAAGTTCTGGGATTACAGGCTTGAGCCACCATGCCTGGCCATCCTAGTCTTAAAGCTTGAAACTTACATTTGTCTTATGAGTTCCTTTCACAGAAAACTGATCCTGAGGCCTCACAAGTAGTGTCAAGATACTGAAACTCCTTAATTTCTGTTTTCCTAACTGACCACCTGCTTCCTGTTGACCAACTCCTCTTCCTTACCCCTCCCTAATTTTTGTTTTCCTTCACATAGCTACATTTCTTCCTCACTATTTAAACCCCCAATTTTAGTTGGTTAGGGAATGGATTTGAGGCTTATCTCCCATCTCCTCTGCTGCAGCACCTGAATAAAGCCTTCTTCCCTGGCAATGCTAACCTCAGTGACTGGCTTTCTGTGTGGTGAGCAATGGGACCTAGATCAACCACCTGGCATTTCAGTAAACCATTGAGTATAATGATAGCTGTGAGCTTGTCGTATACAGCCTTTGTTATATTGAAATACATTTCTTCTATACATAAATTGCAAAGCATATTTATTATGACAGGATGTGGAATTGTGTCAAATGCTTTTACTGCATCTATTAAGATGGCCACGTTTTATATCCTGCATACTTTTAATGTACTGTGTGACATTTATTATTATTATTACTACTATTATTTAGAGACAGGATCTCACTCAGTCACCCAGGCTGGTGTGCAGTGATGCAATCATAGCTCACTGTAGGCTCAAACTCCTGGGCTCAAGTGATTCTCCTATCTTGGCCCCTCAAGTAGCAAGGACTTAAAAGTTCATGCCACTACACTCAGTTACTTTTCTTTATTTCTTGTAGAAATGAGGTCTCACTTTGTTTCCCAGGCTGGTCTCAAACTACTGGCCTCAAACAATTCTCCCATTTTGGCCTCCCACAGTGTTGGGATTATTGATTTGAGCCATTGGACCTGGCTTCACATTTATTAGTATGAATTATATTTCAGACAATTCATAGATCTCCATTAATTTGAGGTCAGTTACTGGAAATTTATTTTCTTTTGGTGGTATCCTGTTTCCCTGATTCTTTGTTATTGATGTAGCATGTAGTGGGTGTGGATCCTGTTTAGTATGTGGATATCTAATTGTCCCAGCACTACTGATTGAACAGATTATGGTTTCCTCAATAAACTAGCTAGAAAAAAAGTAAAAAAAAATCAGTATAACAAAAACAGAAGAATTTATTTATAGATTTTTAACTGGTTGAATTGAGCTATATGTCTATTTTTATGCCAGTACTATAGTGTCTTGACTTACTGCTGGTTTGTAGTAGGTTTCGAAATCAGAAAGTGTGAGTCCTCACAATTGGTTTTCCTTTTCCAATTGTTATGGCTATTCTGGGCCAATTACATCTTCATATAAAATGTATACTTATGTCAATTTCAGAAAAATCTGTAGAGATTTTTATAGGAATTGCACTGATTTTTGAGATTTATTTTAAGACTACTGCCAGCCTAGCAATATTTTGTGTTTCACTCCATAAACAAGAAAGATCTTTTCAGTTATTTAGATCTTAACTACTTTTAATAATATTTTGTTCTTTTCAATGTACAAGTCCTGCATGTGTTTTGTTAAATTAATTTCTAATTGTTCTATTTTTTTGATGCTGTTTTAATGAAATTTTTTTTTCATTTTGAATTATTTACAGAAAAACAATTTTTGTATATTATTCATGAGTGTTGCAACTTTGTAGAACACTTATTTATTAGTTCTAACAGTTTTTAAATTTTATTTCTAAGAATTTTCTCTGTATAAAATCATTTTATCTGCATACAGATATAGGTTTATCTGTTCATTTCCAATCTGGATACTTAAAAAAAATTTTTCCTTGCCTCATTGTCATAGCTATAACCTGCTCAATAGTGTTGAACCATGAGAAAAAACATTTTAATCTTGTTCCTGATATTAGGAAAAATCTCTAATTCTTTTAAAATTCATTATTATGCTAGTTACGAGTGTATTACAGATGTTCTCTATCAGGTTGAGGAAGTTCAGTTCTATTAAGAATTAGAAGGTTTTTAATCATGAGTGGGTGAATAACTTTGTCATAATTTTTCTTCTTCATATGTTCAAGTATTTATTTGTTCTTTATTATATTAAATGCTATAATACACAAAAGTGAAGTAAATCTCACTTCGTGATGTGCAAACTATTTGCATTTTTCAATTATTCTGGAATTTTTTTTTTAGCTTTCATTTTAGGTTCAGAGGTGCATGTGTAGATATATTATATAGGTAAATTGTTTGGGGAGTTTGGTATACACATTATTTTCTTACCTAGGTAAGAAGCACAGTACCTGCTATGTGTTTTTTTCAATCCTCAGCCTCCTCTCATTCCTCCATTCTCAAGTAGCCCTGGTGTCTGTTGTTCCCTTCTTTATGTTCACATGTACTGAGGGTTTAGCTTCCACTTATGAGTGAAGATATACAGTATTTGGTTTTCTATTCCTGTGTCAGTATGCTTAGGATAATTTTCTCCAGCTCCATCCCTGTTGTTGCAATGGACACGATCTCATTCTTTTCATTATTATTATTATAATTTTTATTATACTTTAACTTCTGGGGTACATGTGCAGAACATGCAGTTTTGTTACATACGTATACACGTGCCATGGTGGTTTGCCACACCCACCAACCCATCACCTACATTAGGTATTTCTCCTAATGCTATCCCTTCCCTAGCCCCTCACCCGCCGACAGGCCCAAGTGTGTGATGTTCCCCTCCCCCTCTCTGTGTCCATGTGTTCTCATTGTTCAACTCCTACTTATGTGTGAGAACATGTGGTGTTTGCTTTTCTGTTCTTGTGTTAGTTTACTGAGAATGATGGTTTCCAGCTTCATCCATGTCCCTGTAAAGGACATGAACTCATCCTTTTTTATGGCTGCATAGCATTCCATGGTGTATATGTGCCACATTTTCTTTATCCAGTCCATCACTGATGGAGATTTGGGTTGATTCCAAGTCTTTGCTATTGTGAATAGTGCTGCAATAAACATACGTGTGCATGTGTGTTTATAGCAGAATGATTTATAATCCTTTGGGTATATACCCAGTAATGGGAATGCTGGGTCAAATGGTATTTCTGGTTCTAGATCCTTGAGGAATCACCATACTGTCTTCCACAATGGTTGAACTAATTTACACTCCCACCAACAGTGTAAAAGCATTCCTATTTCTCCACAACCTCTCCAGCATCTGTTGTTTCCTGACTTTGTAATGATCACCATTCTAACTGACATGAGATGGTATCTCATTGTGGTTTTGATTTGCATTTCTCTAATGACCAGTGATGATGAGCTTTTTTTTCATATGTTTGTTGGCTGCATAAATGTCTTCTTTTGAAAAGTCACTGTTCACATCCTTCATCCACTTTTTGACAGGGTTCTTTTCTTCTTGTAAATTTATTTAAGTTCTTTGTAGATTCTGGATATTAGCCCTTTGTCAGATGGATCGATTGCAAAAATTTTCTCCCATTCTGTGCATTGCCTGTTCACTCTGATGATAGTTTCTTTTGCTGTGCAGAAGCCCTTTAGTTTAATCAGATCCCATTTGTCAATTTTGGCTTTTGTTGCCATTGCTTTTTGTGTTTTAGACTTGAAGTCTTTGCCCATGCCTATGTCCTGAATGGTATAGCCTAAGTTTTCTTCTAGGATATTTATGGTTTTAGGTCTTATGTTTAAGTCTGTAATCTCATTCTTTTTATGGCTGAATAGTATTCCATTATGTATATTTTCCACATTTTTAATAAATCCAGTTTACCATTGATGAACATTTAGTTTAATTCCATGTCTTGTTATTGTCAATAATGCCACGATGTATATATGCATGCATGTGTCTTTACAGTAGAATGATTTCTATTCCATTGGGTATATAATCACTGGGTCAAATGGTAGTTCTATTTCAAGTTTTTCAAGAAATTGACAACTGTTTTCTGCAGTGACTGAACTGCTTTACATTCCCACCGGCTATATATAAGTGTTCCCTTTTCTCTACAACTTCACCACCATCTGTTATTTTTTTGACTTTTTAATAATGCCCATACTGACTTGTGTGAGATGGTATCTCATTGTGGTTGTGACTTGCATTTCTCTAACAAATAGTGATGTTGAGCATTTTTTATGTGCTTGTTGGCTGCATGTAAGTTTTCTTTGAAAAGTGTCTGTTATTGTTCTTTGCTCATTTTTAATGGGGTTATTTCTTTTTTGTTTGTTAATTTGTTAGTTTCTTATAGATTCCGGCTACTAGACCATCAGCAGACACATAGTTTGCAAATATTTTCTCCCATTTGGTAGGTTGTCTGTTTACTGTGTTGATAGTTTATTTTGTAATATAGAGGCTCTTAATTAGGTCCCACTTGTCAATTTATGTTTCTGATGCAATTGCTTTTGCCATCTTTATTATGAATCTTTGCCAGGTCCTATGAACAAGATATTGCCTAACTTATATTCCAATGATTTTATAGTTTTAGGTTTTACATTTAAGTCTTTGATTCATCTGGAGTTGATTTTTGTATATGACACAAGGAATGAGTCCAGTTTCAATCTTCTGCTTATGGCTAGCCAGTTATTACATCACCACTTATTAAATAGGGAGTGTTTTCCCTGTTGCTTTTTTTTTGCCAAATTTGTTGAAGATCAGATGGTTGTAGATATTCTGCTTTATTTCTAGGTTCTCTATTCTGTTCAATTAGTCTGTGTGTCTATTTTTCGACAAGTACCATGCTGTTCTGGTTACTGTAGCCTTGTATTATAGTTTGAAGCTGGGTAATGTGATTTCTCCAACTTTCTTCATTTTTCTTAGGATTACTTTGGCTATTCTGGCTCTTTTTGGTTCCATACACATTTTACAAAAGGTTTTCTAATTCTGTAATGAATATCATTGGCAGTTTGATAAGGAATAGCATTGAATCCATAAATTGCTTTGGGCAGTATGATTATTTCAACAATATTGAGTCTTCCTGTCCATGAGCATGAAATGTTTTCCATTTGTTTGTGTCATCTCTGACTTTGAGCAGTGTTTTATGATTCTTATTGTAGATTTTCACTTCCCTAGTTAGCTGTATTCCTTGGTATTTTATTGTTTTTTTTTTTTCTGGCTATTGCTTATGACATTATGTTCTTGATTAGCCTCTCACTTTAGTAGTTGTTGGTGTACAGAAATGCTACTAATTTCTGCACATTGATTTTGTATCCAGGTAATTTTCTAAGGTTGTTTTTCAGACTTAGGAGCTCTTGGAAAGAGACTATGGAATTTTCTAGGTAAAGAATCATATTAGGTGCAAAAAGATAGTTTGACTTCCTCTCTTGCTATAGGGATATCTTTTATTACTTTTTCTTGCCTGGCATAAAATATCCAGTCCAGTCTTATGTTGAGTAGAAGTGGTGAGAGTGGGCATCTTTGTCTTGTTCCAGTTCTCAAGGGGAATGTTCCCAGCATTTGCCCATTCAGTATGATGATGACTATGTGTTTGCCATAGAAAGCTTTTTTGTTGTATGTTTCCTCAATACCTTGCTTGTTGAGGATTTTAAGATGAACAGATGTTAAATTTTATCAAAACCCTTTTCTGCATCTATTGAGATAATTGTGTTGGTTTTGTTTTTAGTTCCTTTTATGTAATGAATTAAATTTATTGATTTTCCTATGTTGAAACAATCTTTCACCCTAGGGATAAAGCCTACTTGATAATGATGGATTAGCTCTTCGATGTGCTACTAAATTTGGTTTGCTCGTACTTTGTTGAGGATTTTTCCATCTCTGTTTATCAAATATATTAGTCTAAAGCTTTCTTTTTGTGTATTTATCAGGTTTTGATATTAGAGTGATGCTGGCCTCCTAGAATGTGTTAGGTAGGAGTCCCTCCTCCTCAATATTTTAGATTAGTGTCAGTAGGAATGGTACCAGCCTTTCTTTATACTTGTAGAAATTAAGCTGTGAATCCATCTGGTCCTCAGCTTCTTTTGGTTGGTAGGCTTTCTATTATTCATTCAATTTTGGAACTTATAATTGGTCTGTTCAGAGATTCAATACTTTTGTAGTTTAGTATAGAGATGTGCTATGTTTCTAGGAATTTATTTTTTTTAAAGTGTTTTAGCTTGGTGCGTAGAGGTGTTCAAAGCAATCTCTGAGGAATTTTGTATTTTTGGGGGCTGTGGTAACATCCCGTTTGTCATTTCTGATTTTATTTATTTATATCATATACTTTTTATTAGTGTATTCAGTGGTCTATCAATCTATTATTTTGAAATAATCAACACCTAGATTTGTTGATCTTTTGTATGGTTTCTTGTGTCTGAATTTCCTTCAGTTCGGTTCTTAACTTTGGTTATGTCTTGTCTTCTGCTACCTTTGGAGTTGGTTTGCTCTGCTTTTTCTAGTTCTTCTAGTTGTGATGTTAAATTGTTAATTTGAGATTTTTCTAACTTTTTGATATGTGCATTTAGCAATGTAAAATTCCCTCTTAACATTATCTATGTATCAGAGATTCTGATATGTTGTACCTTTGTTCTCATTAGTTTCAAAGAATTTCTTGATTCCTGCCTTAATTTCAATATTTACCAAAAAGTTATCAAAAAGTAAATCAGGAGCATGTTGTTTAATTTCCATGTAATTGTACAGTTTTGAGCTTTCTTAGTATTGATTTGAATTTTCTTAGTATTGATTTGTATTTTTACTGTGCTGTGGTCTGAGTGTGGTTGGTATAATTTTGTTTTATAATTTGTTGAGAATTTTTTATGACTGATTTTGTGCTCCATTTTAGAGTATGTGCTATGTGCAGATGAGAAGAGTGTATGTTCTGTTGTTTTGGGGTGGAGAGTTCTGTGGATGTCTATTTGGTCAAGTGTTGAGTTCGGGTCTCAAATATCTTTGTTATTTTTCTGCCTCAATGATCTGTCTAATACTGTCTCTGGATTACTAAAGTTTCCACTATTATTGTGTGGTAATCTAAGTCTCCTTATAAGTTGTAAAGTACTAAGTATGTAAAGCTCTGTGCTCCTGTTTTGGGTGCATATATTCTTAAGATAGTAATATCTTCTTGTTGAATTAAATACTTTACAATTATGTAATGCCTTTGTTTGTCATTTTTGATATTTGTTGGTTTAAAGTCTGTTTTGTCTGAAATTAGAATAGCAATCCTAGCTTTTTTCTGTTTTCTGTTTACTTGCCAGGCTTTTCTGCATCCATTCTCTTTGAACCTATGGGTGTAACTGCATATGAGAGAGATCTTTTGAAGACAGGATACCATTGGGTCTTCCTTTTTTATGCAACTTGCCACTCTGTGCCTTTTATTTGGGGCATTTAGCTCATTTACATTCAAGGTTAATCTTGATATGTACAGATTTAATTCTGTCATCTTGTTCCTAGCTGGCTAATATGCAGAGTTGATCGTGTACTTGCTTTATATGTCAATGATTCATGTACTTACATGTCTTTTTCTGGTAGCTGGTAATGGTCTTTCCATATTTAGCACTCCCTTAAGGACTTCTTGTAAAGCAGAACTGTTTGTAATGAATTTCATTAGCATTTGTTTTTCTGAAAATGATCTTATTTCTCCTTCGTGTATTAGGCTTATTTTGGCAGGAATAAAATTTGTGATTGAAATTTATTTCCTTTATGAATAATGTATATAGGCCACCAATGTCTTCTGGCTTGCAGTGTTTCTGCTGAAAGGTCCACTATCAGCCTGATGGGATACCATCTATAGGTGACCTGCTCCTGCCCTCTTGCTGCCTTTATCATTTTTTCTTTTTTTCAAACTTGAAGAATCTGATAACAATGTGTGTTAGGGATAGTTGTCTTGTATAGTATCTTCCAGGGGGTCTCTGCACTTCTTGAATTTTAATATTGGCTTCTCTAGCAAAACTGGGGAAATTTTTATTGATGATATTTTCAAATAACTTTTCCAAGTTACTTGTTTTTGCTTCTTGTTTCAGGGATGTAAATGAGCATAAATTTGGTCTCTTTACATAATCCTGTTTTTCTCAGAAATTTTTTCAGTCTTCTTTACTCTTTTCTCTTTACTTTTATCTGAGTGTTTTCAAAGACCTGGTCTTCATGCTCTGAGATTTGTCCCTCACCTTGGTTGATTCTACTGTTCATACTAGAGATTGTATTATGAAATATTTGAAATGAGTTTTTCAGCTCTGTTAGATGAGTTTAGTTTTCTTCTTAAAATGATCATTTTGTCTTTGAGCTCATTGTTTTGTCGTATCCTTAGATTCCTTGGATTGGGTTTCAGATTTTCCCAAATCTCAATGATCTTCATTCCTATCCATTTTCTGAATTATATTTCTGTCATTTCAGCCATTTCAGCCTGGTTAGGAAACACTGCTGAGGAACTAGTGGGTTTGTTTGGAGAAAATAGGACACTGTGTCTTTTGGGGTTACCAGAGTTCTTGTGCTGGTTATTTCTTTTCATTGTTTTGATGTTCCTTCAGTCTTTGAAGTTGTCTTCCTTTGGATGGGGTTTTTACTTTTATCTTCTTTGATGCCTTTGGGGGTTTGATTGTGGTATAAAGTAGGTTCAATCAACTAGCTTCATTTCTGGAAGATTTTAAGGGGATAAGTCTCAACTCTTAGACTGTGTCCCCTAACTCTGAGGGGGGGCTGATATATGGCCGCTTGCTTTGTTCTGTGGCCCCTTGAGTTTAAAAACCTCATGTGCTGCAGGGTCCAATATGTTCCCAGTCCACTAGCTACAACACTTTCATTGGCAGTGCTGGCTAAAGCATTTTGTTGGCATAGTGGCAGTGGGATCCATGCTTGCTTGTGTGTGCCAGCAGCTGCAGCAGTGTGGCGGGGTGCACACGCATGGGCTGGCATGGCATACTGGCAGGAGTGGGGCTGTAGCATTCCTGCTTGTGCCTATGCCAATGGCCTCTAATCTTTTTTATAAGTTGTCGGATTTGGTTTGCTTATATTTTCTTGAAGATTATTGCACATATATTGCTAAGAAATATTGGTATGTAGTTGTTTTTCTTTTCTTGAGATGACGTATTTTTTTTTAATCAGGCCATATATAATGGGTTAAATATTTTTTCTCTTTTATTTTATTGTAAATATTTCTTTAAGATTGGTGTTGATTACTTAAGCTTTTGGTAAAATTAAACAATAAGGGCACTTAGTCCTCAACTCTTATTTACGGGAACTTTTAAAATTACCGTTATAAAAGCTTTATTGTTACCGGTTGGAATATATTTTCTGTTTCTTCTTAAGGGGGTTTTAGAAGTTTTGTATTTGTGGTCATCTATTTCATCTAAGGTATCTAAATTGCTTTCATACAGTTGTTCATGTTATTTCTTATAATCATCTTTGTTTCTGTAATGTCTGTAAAAATATCCCTCTTTTATTCTAAATTTAACTCATTTGAGTCATCTGTATTTTTATTTTTAGTAAGTCTAGCCATAGTTGCCAATTTGTTAATGTTTTCAAATAAGCAAATTTTGGTTGTACTGTTTTGTGTCTATTATTTTCCTAGTCTTTATTGTATTTATTTCTCTTCTCATGTTTATTATTCACTACTTTTTGCTTGCTTTTAATAAATTCTATTATCTAAAAATAAAAAAATAGGTGAAATAACCAATGGAAAGTCAAATTGGAAAAGTTATAATTTTTATATCACAAACAATATGTAATATTCCTGATATAGAAAGAGCTTATACAAATTAAGAAAACAACAACATTTAAAAAGTCAAGACATATAAATTGTGCAAAGAGAGAATTATAAATGCATACAGGATACACAGAAATAAACACTAATATTCCTTAATCACATGAAAAAATAATATTTTTCAAAAGAAGAAAACTAAGGCATTACTTCTATTTTATTTACAACAACTCAATGTTTTGATGACATAAAACAATAATATGATTAATAAATTAGCAAGGCTTGGTATGATGACTCATGTGTGTAATCCCAACACTTTGAGGGGCAGAGGCAGGAGAATCACTTAAGCCCAGTAGTTCGAGAGTAGCCTGGGCAACATAGAGAGACCCTGTCTCTACAAAATACATACTTATATATATTTTTAACAACCAGGAAATGTGGTGCACATCTGGGGTCCCAGCTACTCTGGAAGCTGAGGTAGGAGGATCACTTGAGCCTGGAAGGTCTAGACTGAAGTGAGCCATGTTCACCCCAGTGCACTAAGTATCACTAAAAGAGTGATTTCAGTATCACTAAAAGAGTAAATGTTTAACATTCTCATCACAAAAAAATATTAAATATCTGTGGTTATATATATGCTAAGTAGTTTAATTTTTCACATTGTATTAAAAATTGTAATACCACTTTGTACTTTGTAAATGTATACAACTGTAATTTGTCAACATATAATATATTTTTTAAATAGACAAGAAAAATTTTTTAAAACTGGTATTGGGACTACAGATTCTCTAAATGGGAAAATAACTGAGCCTTTAATTGTAGCATAAAAACAAACAGAAACCAAAAGAAATAACAAATCAGTGATTAGCAAAAAGATCACAGACCTAAATGTGAAAGGCAAAACTTAAAAATATTTTAAGAACATTTTGGTAAGTATTTTGTTGAATTAGTTTAAGTCAAAATTTCCTGACATGAAGAAAGTACAAGCATAAAGGAAAAGACTGATAATTGTACTGATAAATTTGAGTATTAAAAAAGTTTGTATAATGACACTATTTCCACAATTTAACAATAAACTAATGACAGTTAGGGAATGTAGTTTCAGTGCATATAAACATGAAGTGATTAGTTTCTGGAACATATAAACAACTTCTACAAATCAACGTATTTTAAAAAATGAAAAATAAGTGAAGGATATAGGCAGTCAATTCACACAAGTCACTTACATGACTGAAAAATATGGATGAATTCTCAATCTCATTTATAATCAGGAAAACTCAAAATCACACTGTTACCATGTCTTGTTTATTATGAACATAGCAAAACAAAGTTTGACAGTACAAAGTGTTAGCAGCAATGTAGAGTCTTGTGTATTCTCAGACACATAGGGTACAGATATATAGAGGTATAACTATTTTAGGGAGAAATGTGGCAAAATTTCATAAAGTTGAATTTGATTATACCCACTGGGCCTCCTGTCAAGTCTGTCTACACTTAACCTCCAGCAATATGTCAATTAAAGTTAAAGTGTTCTAACCAATACTAAATCCAATTGTGGGCTTCTGCTCCTAAACTTTTGTCCAGTAAGCTGTCTGTCTCTCCAGTGTTCAGGGCAGCCGTTTGTCCTATGACCTCAGTTCTCTGATGACAGAGCAAAAATTTGTTGATTTTGAATTTTTTTTTTATTGTGAAGAAACTTATTACAGTATTTGTTCAATTCTTCCCTCACATTCTTGGTGATATTTTTGTAATATATTTTAGTTTTGTATATGCTAATAACACAAAAATACTTCTATTTTTGTGTTATCTTTTAGAGCAATTAAAATTAAAATAACCCATTTAATTTTACTTTTATTTAATCCATTTACTGTGTTCTTTATTAATTTTTATAGAATCAAGTCTCTGACCCTTTATCATATCTGTTCTTTCTGATTTTTTACCGTTTCTAGTAGGCTAGAACTGGTAGTATAACTGGAAAGGGGTCCCAATCCAGACCTCAAGAGAGGTCTCTTGGATTTCACAGAAGAAAGAATTTGAGGCGAGTCCATAAAGCAAAGTGAAAACAAGTTTATTAAGAAAGTAAAGGAATAAAAGAATGACTAATCAAGAAATAACCATAAAAATGGTTGCCCATTTTTAGTATTCATTAGTTTTCCAGGAAAGCGGTGGGCAATTCCCAGAGCTGAGGTTCCTCCCCTTTTTAGACCATATAGGGTAACTTCCTCACATTGCCATGGCATTTATAAATTGTTATGGCACTGATGAGAGTGTAGCAGTGAGGACAACCAGAGGTCATTCTCATTACCATCTTGGTTTTGCTGGGTTTTAGCCAGCTTCTTTACTGAAACCAGTTTTATCAGCAAGGTTTTTATGACCTGTATCTTGTGCCAACCTCCTATCTCATTCTGTGACTTAGAAGGCCTAACCATCTGGGAATACAGCCCAGTATGCCTCAGCCTTATTTTATCCAGCCCCTATTTAAGATGGAGTTGCTCTGGTTCCAACACCTCTGACATTTTCCCCATCTCTTTTATAAGAGATCCCTTAATCCTAAGAGTTGTAGAGGAGCAAAGATCCATCTTCTGTAACTTCTTCAGGCTGAATAGGGGTGATATTATTCCTGCCTAGCTATTGGGGTCTCTTGTATTACAGGTAGAGAGGAGCCCAGTCATAAAGTGTCAGTATGGTGAAGGTCATTCATACCTCTGAGTTCCTACAAAAGCTTATAATTTATTAAGTATTCAATTTAAGAAAATATTGAGTAAGCTTACCCTTCATTCCTACACAAAGAGTACAATAGCAAATATATTCCACATCTGATGAGACTAGAATCTAATAATGAGTGTACCATAGTTCTTGAAATATAGTTTATTTCTCCAGTCTCCCATTTTCACTAAAAATAAATCATAGTAAGACTGGCTTGCTTTATTAAACTTGGCCTGATTATTTGAATAAAGTGGAGCAAGAATAACTATTTTTCACATAGGCTTTCTAAATTGACTTTGATTGAACTCTGTTCCATAAGAAATCTCATACAAGACATTTTTCTTTTAAAACTGAGCCCAGTGATGGGGTTGTACTGTCAAATACCTATGAGTTGGGTAAATTCCTCTCCTCTTGAGGTCCCAAGATAACTTGGGGCTCCTGGGCCTGTCAGAAAGTAATATTCTTTACTTATCCCAGGTCAGGAACCCCGTATAGGAACTCTATAGACAAGGTATGAGGCCAGTTTTCCCAAGGGGCTTCTATTGGCTCTCCATGTCAAATTTGATTCCTTAAAAGAAAGCATGCCATTCTAGTCAAAGCCTTGTAAAATAAACAATTTATCCACTTGTGTCCTGTTGCAAAATAAAACATTCTTATGGAACTTATGCAAATAAATATATTGCCACAATTTAAGATACAAATAGTTTCCAAATTTTGGAGAAATCAGGTAGAGAGAAACAAATATGCTGTAAATGTTACTCACAGGAGTACACTTTACACAATTGTTAAAATCTGTAGACAACTCAAATGAAAAGTTTCCTTGACTCTGAAAACAAAACAAAGGATGGGCAATGTTTTTAAGCAAAGTCAAAAAATAATTACTTCCATCTTTTATTAGTCCAGTTCATGTGGTTAACTCCTGTTCTTCTTGATATTCATGAATATTTCAGCTCTCCATGAGAGTCCTGGAAGTTTTTCCTCTATTCTGATGTTACAATCTCCAAAGCTATCAGAAACCTGCATTCAAGAGTACCTGTTAAAGTCCTATAGTTGATTATAAAAACCACCTTCTAAAGAGGACTAATACAAAACAACAATTGTCTGTGGATGATAAAATGCCTTAGGGCAGCCTCTATTAAAACCACAATTGACTAGGAATTTTGGTTACTTCTGTGGCATACAACAATTTCATGTAACAATTATAACTATTAATAACACACTAAGCCATAATAGAATTATGGGAGTTCCTCATAATTTTGGAACACATACCAATGGCACATTTATACACATACAGCCCAAAGAAAGCCAAACACCATTTCATATTTGACAATGCTTTCTGTATGATTTTTATACCAAATAAGTCAAATGTCATTTTTACATTAATGTACTATTAATGTTAAACCCTATCCTTAATAAAACCTTATAGACATTTCTAACCAATTTTAATGTTTGACCATAAGGTAAGATTCTCATAAGCCTTTTGTAACACTTTGCAAGTTTTCATTAAAAAGCAGATCAGTGGTAAGAAAAACCTGTTGTGCTTTTATTTTCATTCAATTGTTCAATAAATGTTCAATTTACAGGAAAACTGTATACCCCTTTAAATTTAGCCAGTATGTTCAGACATAGAATTTATTTTACAAAATTCTAACTTGAAACAATAATTTAACCCTCTAAACTTAAGCAAGAAATCCACACTCCCATGCCTTCTTATAATCTTTTACCAAACGTATATTCTACATTCCTTATATGCCTTGCATGTAGAACTGTTTCTTTAGTAGCCTCAAATACATGTTACACTGTTAACTCTTAGGAACTTTTGCTTTTGGTGAAAAACTTGGTTAGTAGGCGATTGTAATTATGTATCAAGTGTGGAGCTTAGGACATCAGACAGAAGTGCAGATAAGGGCTTAATCTTTCCGGCACAGCTGGGGTGCATGGTGCTCCACATGTCTCCATGTCTTATCAAGAATCTAATGCTTCAAAGTAGGTAAAGTGAACAATTTTCAAAAGTCAAAGAAGCAGTATATGACCTTAAAGCATTTAGTAAACTTAATATCTTGCCTACCTGATTTAGACGAAATATCTTTATTTTACCAATAATCTTTAAAGCTGTCTCTATTTCTCAAAGATTATTTAAGTCCTATGAACTAAAAAGCATTGCACTTTTTAATTTTCTGATAAAATATGTGATTTAAACACTATTTTTAAATGAATTAAAGTTTTTTATATCACACACACAACACATATAAATACAGATACAGAAGAAGATCCAGTACTTGTAAGAGTTTTCATTTGCCAGCTTCCTAATTGGATTTTTGGCTTCAGGGTGGAACCTTTGGAGGAACAGGGGCAGGAAAGCACGCAGTTTCTGCAGCCTAATAGGCAGGCACAACTGGAAGGCAAAACTGATCTCTAGAAATTAAGGGTCCTGTAGTTATACCAGATTCTGGATCCCAAAAAGAGGGAATCAGACCATCTCCCATGGGAGCCTTATATCTCATTGTGGGGTGGGGACATTTCCATACTTTTCTGGTAGTCAAGAGCATGCTTCTCTGATCCAAATGTGCACAGAGCTGAGTATCTCCCCATAACTGCCATTAGCAATCCCCAAAACTATATTTCCTACCTAGTTACCACACACCAAAGTTCTCTCATAATTTGAAGTAATTTCTGATACTCACAAAACTCAAAAAAGGTCAGATAATGCAATGCAAAACAGAACAAAGCCTTAGATTTTGAAAGGAATCTATCCACTTCCAATTCCTGGAGTTTCATGAGGAAAACAGAGGTGCTGTTTTTTTCCCCCAAAACTGGGTCTGTGATGCCTCCTCTGTTTTTCCCAAGGAGTCCAAGTCTGTGAGAGCTTGAATATCTGGTTTTAATTAAACTGACTTTTAGCTATAGCACTCTTTATAAAAGTCTTTTTAAATTTCTTATTACCCTACTTTAGCCAGGCCAAATGGTATTTATTTCTGTGCTCAGAGAAATAAAAGTTCAAGACAGATTGTTGAGGGGAAGAGAATAAACAAATGGTAAGGGTCACACAGGTATCAAACCAGAAAGGTCTCATTCCCTAAGACAGGAATTGAACCCTTAACTTGGGCGACCACTGTGGTGGTGGAGACCAAGAGAAAGTACTGCCACGTGGTCACAAGGTCATGCTCCCAAAGACATGACTGACCAGTTTGCTGGGCCATCTTAATCAACAAGCTTACATGTGTCCTAGGCCCACATTCTATCCTAAGGTACCACTCTTTATGACAGAACAATAAAGGAAGACACACAAAGCACACCAGATTCACCACAGCTTAAGACTAGCATCACAAATGCTTTTTTCCACTAATCAAAATTCTACAGAGGAGAAAAACAGTGTTTTTTTACCATTTATTTAACCAGTTTGCACAGAGAAAGAGAGGCCAGAAGTCTGACTGGCAAAAAATTCTTACCCTTTTGTTAGCATGCCAGGCTCTCGGTTCCCTTTCCCTTATTGGGCCTAGTGACCTGACTTTTTGCACTGTAGCCTTGGGGGACAAGCTGCAACACAAAGGAAAATTATCTTTTTCCATTCTGGCCAGAGCAAAACACATGTGACAAAAGGTAGACATTAGCCACTCTGCTTAGCACCCAATATCAAACTGGCGAGGCTCAAAGTTGCCCCAGGTTGGGCCTCATCATCGTTAATTCAACCTCTGACTGGGAATTTCAACATGGGGTCAATGGGCAAGAAGGTCGCCCTGAGTAATAGAAAATATAATAAAGGGAAAGGAGAGAAAGAGAGAGACAAAAGCATTGTCTGTAGCAGGGTGGGGAAGGTGAGGCACTCAGGTCAGAGAAATACCCACCCATTGCAGTGATGCTGAATCAAAAGTTCAGGCAGCTGCTTGTGGGTCATGAAAGGATCTTTTCTGGCAGCCCCATCGGCTCTCAAGTGTTCTCTTTTGGGGAGAGAAAAAATCTCCCCATGTCCGGTGATCCTGTACATGGCTAATCCTATCACCCATAGCTGTCAGCAGAGTGTAAGACAGATTAATCCAAAGAGAAGAGCAGTTAGCATCCCATAGTGCCAAACCCGTTCTTCGCTGAGGGGAACTTTACTGAGAGGGACCTCCAACCCCCTAAATCTTAGGAGGGACTTTAACCTTGGGCCTTGAATCCATGTTTGGTCAAGCATCCTTGCCTTTTATTAAGAGAGGCCTTTAACCCTCTCTGTCTTAGGAGAGACTCTAACTCCCCTAAGTTAGGCCTCTAATCCAATCCCATCCTCTACCTGGGTACCCCACCACTTACTTAAAAGTTGGCCATCAGTGCTGCAGTCTATTTCCTTTGGGTTGGGATGGTCTCCTCATTATTGTCCCTTCAGCATTCACCAGAAAGTTGTTACACAAAAGGGGTCCGATTCCAGACCCCAAGAGAGGGTTCTTGGATCTTGCACAAGAAAGAATTTGAGACCAGTCCATAGAGCAAAGTAAAAACAAGTTTATTAAGAAAGTAAGGAAATAAAAGAATGGCTACTCCATAGGCAGAAAACCCCAAGGGCTACTGGTTGATCATTTTTATAGTTATTTCTTGATTTTGGAGTCTGTCATTAATTTTGGGGAAATCTTGGTTATTGTTACTGAGAGGTGAAGTCAGATGAGCTTCTGGGTCGGATGGGGACTTGGAGAACTTTTGTGTCTAGCTAAAGGATTGTAAATGCACCAATCAGCACTCTGTAAAATGGGCCAATCAGCACTCTGTAAAACGGACCAACCAGTAGGGCATGGGCAGGGCCAAATAAGGGAATAAAAGCTGGCCTCCCAAGCCAGCAGTGGCAACCGGCTCGGGTCCCCTTCCACACTGTGTAAGCTTTGTTCTTTTGCTCTTCACCATAAATCTTGCTGCTTCTCACTCTTTGGGTCCGCACTACCTTGAAGAGCTGTACCACTCACTGCGAAGGTCTGCGGCTTCACTCCTGAAGTCAGTGAGACAAGGAACCCACCAAGAGGAACACACAACTCCGGACGCGCCACCTTTAAGAGCCGTAACACTCACTGCGAAGGTCTGCGGCTTCACTCCTGAAGTCAAGCAAGACCATGAACCAACCGGAAGGAAGAAACTCTGGACACATCTGAACATCTGAAGGAACCAACTCTGGACACACCTTCTTTAAAAACTGTAACACTCACTGCAAGGGTCTGTGGTTTCATTCTTGAAGTCAGTGAGACCAAGAACCCACCGGAAGGAACCAATCCCGGACACATTACTTCAAATATATATATTTTTATTATCTGTTATCTCTCTTCTTTACATCTGGGTTTTTGTATGCTCCTGGCCAACAGACAAAATAGACTCCCCATGGCTAACTGAGGACATTCAAGACAGCCATCACACCACCTCCGTTTCTATAATCAGGCCAAACCAGTTTCTGTTTTTACTGCCAAGATAAATTACAGCCAGAATTTTCTTCCTCCTCCTTGCTATTTGAAAGAAACATCTGAAAGAGGCTTCCGGTTTGGGGCTTGAAAACCACCCAATCAGGGATCGACTATTTTGGTCATTCATAACTGAACAAGTTTGAATCCTTTATTTGCATAAATGAACCTGATAGAGAACAAGGCAAGAACTTTCCTTATTTAAGCCAGACCTCTCTTTCTTCTTCAGAGAGCACATTTTCATTTTTAATGATGGCTGTGCCTCCTCAATCTTCAGACTGTTTTTTTCTCCTATGTACAACTCCTTTGTTGTTTTTCTCGTTTCTTTTTTAATTTAGAAAGTAAAGTTCTCCTTTATTCCTCTGCAAATCTCATGATCTTCTTGTTAACACAACATTTCTGTAATGTATTGTCATGATCCCCCAACAAACACAAACACACACGCGCGCGCACACACACACACTTTTTTCTGTGTTTTGATTTGGGTAATTTTACTTGATCTATCTTCAAGTTCATGAGTGCTTTCCTCATTTATATTCAAGTTATCAATGAGCTTGTTGAAAGCACTCTGATATTTCATGTCATCTACTTTTATCATTAGAGACAAACATTTCATTATTACTTTAAATATGTTCTGTGAAATAATGCCAGCATCTTTGTCATACCTGAGTCTTGTTTTAATAATTGTCATACTACTTGAAAGGGTGTTTTTCTTCCTTTTTAATATTTCTTATAATTTTTGTGAAAGCCAGGCATGTTAGAAAGGGCAGTAAATAATGAGCTAAATATTTTTTATACTTAATGATGAACACACATTTTCTTCAGCTAGACCTTTGTTGTTGAAGTTTGTGTTAGTATAGTCAGGAGTGAGCTGGTGTTGTTAAGGTTATGCCAGCTGCATCTTTGGCTGTATATTCCTCCAGTGATATGTTGTGTTTAAAAGGTTGAGTAGTTTTACCAGAAGTTATTTTGGCAATGTCTGCTTCTATTTGGGTTTTGGTTCTGTGTCTTTTCTTTTGTTGTTGTTGTTGTACCCCAGAGAAAACCTGTCTCTTGTAGCTCTTCAAGTTGTATTTTACTCTTATTTTCACTCAACACTTGTTAACTTGGTAGTGGGTGGTGACATAATGAGGCATTATCTGATGTTCTGATTAAGCCTTGGTTTTAGGCATGCACTCTGTCACTGGATCTTGCGGACATGGCCTTCAAAATTGCTGCTGTCTACTCTCTATTTCTAGTCCTGGGCCCAGTATATAGTCTTGCCCCTCCACCAGGGGTGTAGCTAATTCTTCTCTTCTGTTTCTTCACCATTGAGTCAAGGTGACAGTTTTGTTGTTTGTCCAATATAGATTAAGGTAGTTATCCTCCCCAATATAGATTAAGGAACATAGGGGATGTGGGTTGTGCAGAATTTTGCCAGTGGCTGTTCTGTCCCTCTTCTAACCCATAGCCAAGAGGTGAAACTTTTTAGTATCGTGACAATCTTTTCTGTGAGCATCTGGTGGAATTTTTGGAAGAAAAGCCTAAAAGAGGGTGTGCAGCCTCCTATATTTGGAAACTTCAGGGGCTTCACACTTTCAAGCCCTTAGCCTTTAGCAATTAGTCCACATTCACCCTTTAGCAATTCATTAATTTTTTAGCTTGATTTTATTACTGGTGTATACGATACCTGGTAGTATCACCAGTAAGCAAATACTCAGGTTTTGTTTCTCCCTGAAAGCTCATGTTATTTTACAAGATTTCTTATTAGTTAATTGCCCTGTGACTGCAATTCTCCTATGGGTTTAATAAAGGAATTAATTTGCAGTTCATCTAAGTTTTCCTAGGTACCGACATTCTTCCCAGATCTGTATATCTTTGAGCTTAAATCGGAAGTCTCAAATCATGTACTTTTGATGATGCTAGCATATTTTTATTCTTCTTAAACAATCTCAAAAGTTGGAGTTACCATGTAAATAAATTTCTTACTAAAAATTTGAGTCTAAGTTGGCAAAATGGTTCTCCAGTATCCCAGATGCTTTAATGTTTGTTTCCTACAAGAAGAGGGAGGATTCTCTGTATTACCATAACATAAACATCAAAGTTAGGAAATTACTAGTAATAGTTTTTATTATGCTCTTTTCCAATTAAAATTTCTCAACTTATTCAAATAGTGTCCTTTATATCAAAAGAATACAGTTCATAATCACACATTACCTTTAGTCTTCATGTCTTTTGGTCTTCATTCTAAAATAGTTCTCTAGCCTTTCTTTGAATTTCATGACTTCAACACTTTTGAAGATTAAAAACAAGTCATCTTGGAGAATTCCTTCAATTTGAAACTGTTTGGTTATTTCTTCTGGTTAGTTATTTAGTTTCAGGTTATGAGTCTTTGATATGATATCACAGAGTGAGGCTATATTCTTCCCATTGCATTCTGTCAGCTGGTGTGTGATTTAGATTTTTCCCATTATTGATGGTAACTGATCAGTTGATTAAAGGGCTGTCTGCCAGTATTCACCAATGTAAAATTAATCTTTTCAGCTTTGCAATTAATAATAAATGTTTTATGAGGGAATACTTTGCAAACTACATAAATATCCTATTTCTCATCAAAATTCCCATTTATTAATTTATTTAGTTTTATCTCTGAGGACTCATGGTTCTCAATTTGATGCAATGGGTTATAATTTATCATTGCCATTATTTATTTTGATGCTCAAATTTTCCCCAGTTTGGCCAATGAAGGTCCACTTTCTATGTCATTTTAATATGTCCCAATATTCTTTGAGCTCTCCTTTGCTTCCTGGCACGAGAAATTTTAGATGCATCTTGTATTTTTCCTCTTTATCCCCAAAATGAGCAATTTCTCCCACAGAACCCTGGTCCCATTGGTGGAGAATAGTATTTAAAAGCATAGATTTAGGTAGTCAGTATACTCACTGTTATGGGAGCATCATCCATCTACACATATGCGCACCCAAATATATATCAATTAATTTTTATTAACCTTTATATGTTAAAACCAATGAGTTTATACTAATATCTCTAATTCCACACTAATGGTGCTTGTTGCATCGTAGTTTTTTTTTTCTATATTTTTAATTGTCTTCTCTGACAATGGAAACTCAGTCTCCCATTATTCTTAATATATTTACTTGCTATGTGCTATACAAAGCAGTAGGAGGCACTATCTTTTCATTCAATAAATTAAAATATAGTTGTGACAATAAGACATATGAAAAGTCTCCCATTCTCTGTCCACTTTTATTCTCTGCAACCCACATGGATGCCCTTCTCACTATACTTGGGCTCTGACTCCCCATGGTAGCTCACACGTCTGTGCAGAATCTTTGTCAACCTATTTAGGCTAATCTTCATGCCCTACTGTCCCTTTCTGAGCATGGTCACTCTACTCACTACTGTCAGGCTCTGACACTTCAAGCAAGGCTCCCTGTGTGCAGGAACTCCCTCCTCATGTTGCTGGGGCTCTCAGATCCCACCTATGTCCCTGAAGCACTTATCCCTGGTGCAGTCTCCTACCTTTCTCTGCTATGCATACTGACTAGGACCGAAATGGTCAGGAAATGAAGGGAAAATTGAAGGTCTTACTTATATATGTAAATGTATTGTTAACTCTTGTGTTCAACTTTTCATGTCTTTTTTGTCACAATTATATTGAAATTCTTTAATTGAAAATAATGTGTCTCATACTTCTTTGTGTAATAAATAATTATGCATAGCAGGGCTCAGTTAACATGTATTGGTTTTGTTTTTTTTAGTTTATGCTGCTCTTATTCGTTCATTATTTTTCTCATTTATTAAATAAATTATATGCTATAGGTGTGTATATTATGTGTGTGTGTGTATGAGTTTATGAACTAATGAAATATAAGAAAACGAAAAAGGTTGTTATAAAAAATGATGGCGGCCAGGCGCGGTGGCTCATGCCTGTAATCCCAATACTTTCAGAGGCCAAGGGGGGCTGGATCACCTGAGGTCAGGAGTTCAAGACCAGCCTGGTCAACATAGTGAAACCCCATCTCTACTAAAAATACAAAAATTAACCGGGTGTGGTGGTACATACCTGTAATCCCAGCTACTCGGGAGGCTGAGGCAGGAGAATCGCTTGAACCCAGGAGACGGAGGTTGTAGTGAGCTGACATCGTGCCACTGCACGTCAGCCTGGGTGACAGAGCAAGTCTCCATCTCAAAAAAAAAAAAATTATGACACCATACTAGCCATCATTTGGGTAGTCATTTACTTTAATGACCTGTTTATAATAGACTACTAAAAACAAAATTCGTAGCTTCTACATGAGTATTTTAAATGTACTTAAAGTAACTCTATGTAATATGAAATATTTTAGGAATAAAAAATAAATTTGAAGTCCTCAGGGACTTTTGATTTCAGCTCCAACATGTAAAATTTAGAGTCTTCACTTCAGTCTTTACAGGAGAAAGTTTAATCAGCTGGAATTCAATAACTTTGCTTGGCCCTATCACAGAACTAAGGTCCCAGGACAAACTGCCAACTTGAAATCTAGGGAGTTAGATGGCCCCTAAGAGACAAACTGTGTCTGGGTAATTGGGAGGAAAGCTGCTGGAGCCATAAACTCTTAGGGGCAGTTATATGGTAATTTTACTGAATTGTTGAAAACTAAGTATAGATTAGAATAAAAATTAGAATCTTTTGAGGGGCCACATTTTTAGGGCCCCCTGAACTTTCACAGGCCTTACCTACAAGAACTAGAACAGGTTAACAAGGAGAAGATATGAGAAATATCCCCTAATGGCTTTGGCATGAGGAGAGAAAAATAATCATCTTGGAATAAACCCAAAGCCTTCTTCTCCATGACAAAGGCATACTCTCCAGAGAGAAATACATTGCCAGAACCTTATACCAACTGGGGCAAGGGTTTTGATTCCACTTCAATCCTCTCCAGACTTACTAACTCACACCATAAAGGATGATATAATACTAAATAGCGCTTCTAGGAAATAAATTCAGAATACTGCAGCGAAAGAAGGGAGTAGGGGACAAGCAGGGAAAAAGGTTACACCACAGGAGAAACACTTGTGAAGCTACAGACCTGAGACACAGGCCCGCTTAAAGACTAAAGTTTACCCAGATGATTATAGAACAACATACTTCCTCATAACTTACCACCTACGGTACAATAACAGTGGATTAAATTCTAAAGAGTTGAACAGCACAGGCTTTCTCTGAGCAAAAGACAACAGTGGAGATGACAACAAGGATAGTGGAGAAATTTGTAGCCTCTGACACCTACACAAACAGCAAACAATGAGCAAAGGCCAATTTCTAAAGTTGTACTTACCTCAGTTCTTATTGAGACAGCCAGGTAGGAAAGGATCCCCAGAAAAACTCCAGCCGGACTGCACACTGGGAGCAGTGCGCTGGGGTGGAGCCACAGAATTTCGCGCTGTTTGCAGCGGGGAGGAGCCTGGTCCCTCCTCTTCCTAGGTGGAACCTGGAGTTCAATCTGCCAGGCAGGAAGCACTCTAGGAGGGACTCTGGCCTTGTGGAGAGTCCCTGTTTCCTTCTTTTTCTTTCACCCAATAAACCCTGCCCTCTTCACTCTTCAAATTGTCTGCCAGCCTAGTTTTTTGTGGTCTTGTGATAAGGACCCAGTCTTGAGCTCAACTAAGGAAAAAGTCGCACAACATTATTATCTGGTACAGTGTCTGCCTTTCAAGAAAAATAAAAATAAAACACGCAAAAAGGCAAGTGAAACACAGTGTTAAGAATCAAAGGAAGAATCAGAACCAGACTCAGATACAACATAGATATTGGAGTTGTAAGATAGACAATATAAAATAACTGTGACTAAAATGTTAAGGATACTAAAGGGAAAAAAAGGTAACACAAAAGAACAGTGATGGAAGCACTAAAAAAAAAAAAATTAAAAGAAAATACCAGAAATAAAAACTACTCTAAAAATCAAAACGAAGGCCCTTGACAGGCTTATCAGTATATGGACAAAGAAAGAATAAGCAAGCTTAGTGATAAGGCAATAAAAGCTTTCCATACTAGAATGCAAAGATTACAAAAAACTGATGAAACAGAAAAGGAAGAAAATTGTGGAACAGCTTCAAAAGGTGTGACATATTCTTAATTGTAATAACAAAAGGGAAAAAAGGACAACAGAATACTTGAAGTGATAATGCTTGGAAACATTCAAAATTAATAACAGATAGCAAATCACAGTTTCAAGAAACACAGGAAACACCAAGTTGAAGAATTTAACAGGAAGCTCCTAAACATATATGTTTGAACTGTAGAAAAGTAAAAAGAGAGAAAATCTTGAAAGAAATAAATACCAGAATAAAAACTGGTACCTTACCATGGAAAAAAGAATTAAAAACTACAGTCGTTTCTCATCAAAAACTGTGTAAGCAACAAAAGAGTGTAATAAAATATTTAAAGTATTTTTTTAAAAAAACCCACAAACCTAAAAATCTATATTCAGTAAAATTTACTAAAATTTACTCTAGGTATGCAAATCTGTTTCAGCATTCTAATAATAATGTAGTCTACCATAAGAACAGAATGAGAAAAATAATCACATCATATGATTTTATCACTAAACCCAAAGAAAAACCCTCCCAGCAAACAAAAAATAGGAATACTTGTTAAAGAACACTTATAAAACACTGTTCGTCACACAAATAACTATCATTATACTTAAAGATGAGAAACTGTATGCTTTCCCACCATCAAGAATAAGTCAAGAATGTCCTCTCTTGTCACTTATTCCACATTGTACTATTGGAATGTCTTAGCTTGTACAACAAGACAAGTGTAGAAAATATATATAGACTGGGAAGAAGTAAAATGACGGTATTTACTCACAGATGACATGTTCTCTATGTGGAAAATCCCAAAGAATTAACAAAGTCCAAAAGAGTTGACAAAATAACTACTGGAACTAATGCATAAATATAGCAAGGTTGCAGAATAAAAGGAAAATAAATAAAAATAAATTGATGTCTTATATATCAGCAATGAGTTATAGAAATAAGAACTGTAATAAAAAATACACCACTATTATAGCACCCAAAAACAGAATACTTAGATATAAATTTATTAAAACATATACAGGATCTATGTGGGGAAACTTCAAAAATCTTATGCAAGAAATCAAACCTCTAAATAAATGGAGAAAAATAAATAAATCAAGAAATAAATGAATGGAGTGTTACTCTGTGTCTATGAATTAGAAGACTCAATATTAATATGTCCATTTGTTGTCAGTGGCCTGATTCAATTTCTTGACTTCACTGGGAGTCCAAAGTCAGAGTAAAGAAGTTTATTGCAAAGCAAAAGTTTATTGCAAAGTCAAAATAAAGAAGTTTATTTCAAAGCAAAAGTGCTCACTGAGAGGCAGAGTGGGCTGCTCAAAAAGCAAGACAGCCCCTAGTGTCTTAAGGGAAATTCCCTTTATGCAACCTGTACATACGTATTCATAAAATACTGATGAGGTCAACTATGTAAAGGCGGGCCTGTGGTTGGTAAATGTGCTTAGTATCTACATGCTATAAAATGCATCACATGTATCATCAGTGTAGAAAATCTCCACCTAGGGAGCATGTTTTTTTTACTGTTAAAATAAGGGAAAGGTTACTAAATTAAACCTTGAGCCTAGCTGCACATATGGGAGTCCAGAGAAGCCCCTGTTGCCTCCTACTCAGGCAGGAATTTGTAGCTAATATCTCTTGGGCTTTTGGTGCTGATTGATGGGAGACTGGGGAAGTTGGAAGTTACATCGGGAATAAGGGACGTTTTTTCTTTTTCCCAGGCTGTACTAGGTATCAGGAACATGTAACTATCTGGCAGTCTGTTGGTATCCTGTAGGACTGCTTACCTTGCAAAAGAATTAGGTGCTGTTGCACAGGTGTGCAAGGGATGCAGCGCCCACTGGGCTTCATACAAAGGGACAAGCCAGTATAGGCTCCTAATCTTACTTATCGTGCCTCAAATTCTTCTTAATTTAATCTACATATTCAATGCACTCCATATTAGAACTCAGAAAATTGTTTGTATATATTGAAACACTAAAGTTTGTATGAAAAGCAAAAGACAGAATAGACAACAAAATACTAAAGAAGTAGTTTGAGGACACACCCTACATGATGACAAGACTTGCTGTAAAGTTACAGTAATTAAGACAACATAGTATTAGCAAATAATAGAAACATAGATCCAGGTAACAATATAGAAATTCCATAAATCAACCATGCTAATATATTCAACTGACCTGTGGCAAGAGAGCAAAGTCAATTAAATGGAGAAAGAATAGTATTTTCAACAAATGGTGCTGGAATATTTGGTCTAACATGTGCAAAAAAAATATGAATCTAAACACAAATTTTACATGTTTCTCTCCACACACACACAAAACTCAAAATGGATCATAGATCTAAATATGAAATACAAAACTATAGAACTCGGATATGATGACAGCACAAAATCTAGGTGATTGGTTTTGACAGTGAATGTTTAGATACATCTTCAATGTGCATTGCTAATTGAAAGGAACTGGTCTGGAAGAGCTACATATAATATAATTTCACTTTTTTCACATCCTGGAAAAATTAAAATTAGATAATAAAAAGATCAGTGTTTGCCAGGGTTTTAGGGGGGAGGAGGGAGGGATGAATAAATCTATTATGGTAGATTTTTAGGGCATTAAAACTGTCTTTATGAAACTATAATAGTAGATACATATCACTGTATATGAGAATTTGTTCAAATCCATAGTGTGTACAACACCAAGAGTGAACTCTAATGGGAATTACGGACTTTAGTTAATAACAACATATTAATGTTAACTCGTCAAATGTAATAAATGCACCACACTAATGCAAGATACCAATAATAATGGGAACTGGAGAAAGGGGAGAAACCCCAGAGCAAGCTCTGTGTACCTTTTACTCAATTTTTCTGTAAGGCAAAAACAGCTAAAAAAAAATCTATTGATTTTTAAAATTGAACTATCAAGCCACAGAAAACATAGATGAATTTAAAATGCATATTGTGAAGTGAAAGAAGCCAGTCAGAAAAGGCTTCATATCATATGATTGTAATGATACCATACTCCAGCAAAGGCAAATCTATAGCAATGTTGAAAAGATCCGTGATTGACAAGGATTCAGGGGCAGAAGAAGAGTTTAATCGGTCTAGTAATACTAATTATCCATATAATGTTAATCTTTTCTCCTATTGATGGATGTCTGTATTTCCAGTTCTTGACTATTAAGAATAAGTATTATTTAGATTTTTAAGAGTCTGCTAAACTTATCAAACTTAGTGTGGTTTTTTACACTCCTACTAACAATTAGAGTTAATTTGCTTTACACTCAAATGGCATTTTGTGTTGTTAGTCTTTATTTGTAATTTTAGCCACTCTGGTGAATGTACTACACCGTATATTTAATGTGAAAAAATCTTTCTGATGACTTTTTCATGTTAATGGTGAAGTGTGTGTTAGAATACTTCCCTATTTCTTAAACAAAAAAGTTTATTTAAATGGAGTGTTATAATACTTCCCTATTTTAAAAAATTGTTGTTTTTAAATAGATTTGTGTTTTTAAAATATATGATCAATACCAGCATTTTGTCAGATATATATTTTTTGAATATTTTCTGCTAGTTTTGACTTGCTTATTAATTTTCTTTTCTTTCTTTCTTTCTTTTTTTTTAGATGGGGTCTCGCTCTGTCCTGGAGTGCAATGGCACGATCTTGGCTCACTGCAACCTCCGCCTCCCAGGTTCAAGCAATTCTCCTGCCTCAGCCTCCCGAGTAGCTGGGACTACAGGCACACGCCAACACGCCAGGCTAATTTTTTGTATTTTTAATAGAGATGGAGTTTCACCATGTTCCCCAGGCTGGTCTTGAACTCCTGAGCTCAGGCAATCCACCTTCCTCTGCCTCCCAAAGTGCTAGGATTACAGGCGTGAGCCACCGCGCCCGGTCTATTTATTTTCTTAACAGGGTATTTTGCTAAGAAGTTTTACATTTTGGTGAAGTCTAGTTTTTCCATTTTTTTATTATGCTTATTATTTCTTATGACTTCAGATTTCCTTCCCTTCACTTAATTAATGGAGGTATTGTAGTATGATTTCTTTTACCTTGTATTTTGAAATTTTACCTTTTACTCTGTGGTCCATCTTGAATTATCTTTTATGTATGATGTGAGGATGTGAGATTACTTTTCTTCATATGAAAATGCAATTTTTCCACCTTCCATTCTTGAAGAAATTAACTTTCCCCATTTGACTGTTTTGGTGTATTGGACAGTAAGTTTAAAAATATGTTTTAAAAAGTATTTGCCATGTTTAAAAAATGTTTAGAAAGAAAGGCCACATTCTTGTCTTTTTCCTTATCTTAGAGGAAAAGGCTTCAACTTTTCACATTGAGTATGATGTTAGCTGTTGGATTGTCATACATGGATTTTCTTGTTGGTGAACTTTTCTTCTATACCTAATTTGTAATTGATAATAATAATATATTGTTTATATCAAAACAGCTAAAAAAGGGATTTTAAATGCTCTCACCACAAAGAAATGATAGTATTTGGGTGGGATAAATATGTTAATTGACCATATTTGATTATTCCACAATGTACATGTAACAAAACACCACATTGTACCCCATAAATATATAAAATTATTATTTGCAATTAGAAATAAAATATAACTTAAAAAAGAAAATCCATAACTCCTTTCTATAATTTATGAATGTATGTCAAAAGTCTTAAATTTGGTTTTAAATATCTTGCTGTAACTGATCTTTACTGTCTATTTACAGGTCACTAGACATCCTGCTCCAGGTGTAATTATGCTATTAACACAAACAACAGCTGGCTCACATGTACTAAGCTCACATGTACTAAGCTCACTTGTACTAGCAGCTCATTGAGCCCACATGTACTAAGCAGCGTGATAAGTACTTGTATATGCAGTATGTCATATACAGGCAATAATTTTAAGAGGTACATATTATGCCTACAAGAATAGGGACCATGACTGTTTTGTTCAACACTGTACACCAGTACCTAGAGAAGTGATTTGTATATGGTAGACATTCAATAAATCGTTATTGAATGAAGGAACTTCATTTCATGGAAAGAAGATTTCAAAAGTTTCAGTATCTTACATCAGGGATCCCTGACCCCGGGGCCACAGACTGGTACTGCTCTGTGGCCTGTTAGGAGCTGGCCTGCACAGCAGGAGGTAAGCAGCAGGCTAGCAAGAATTACTGCCTGTCATGTTAGTAGTGGCATTGTATTCTCATAGGAGTGTGAACCCTATTGTGAACTGCACCTGTGGGGGATCTAAGTTGTGTGCTCCTTATGCGAATCTAATGTCTGATGATCTGATCTGATCTGAGGTGGAACGGTTTCATCCCACCCCACACCCATCCACGGAAAGATTGTCTTCCACAAAACTGTTCCCTGGTACTGAAAAAGCTGGGGACTACTGTCTTACAGAATGTCACACAGCACATGATATCAGAAAATTAGTCCCAGATCTGTGTATAAAGCATATAGTTAAAATCACTGTATGATCACTACCTCGTGAATTTTCTGTGCATGTTGTGCTTTCACTTATATTGCTTGATTACATATTCACTGAAAATTCTCTCTTATCACCATCAATGAAATCATTACATTTACTTCATGACTCACTAAAAGATGTAGGCTCTCTAAACATGTTCACAGATTCTTCCCATTTCATGTTAATCTTTTTCTTCTTTTCCATCTCCTTCATGCATGTATCCATCAGAACCAGGCTGATAATTAATCAAATAAACAGGTAGTTTTCAACCCCGGTTGTGTACCAGAAATACTTGTGGAGAATTTTAAAGTACAGATATCGCATGCTCAACTGTAGATTTTCCTAATCAGAATATCCTGCTTTAGAGTCTCAGTCTGAAAGTTTTGCAAGTTCTCTAGGTGTACTGGGTGCTGACATCTATTTGGCAGATCTAGGAATTCATTCCCTAAACTGTCAGGAATGTTGATTGTCAATGGCTCACAGCTTAGACACTCTCAGAAAATCACCCTCTTTGAAAGTAAACTACCTCTCACAAGATTGTACTTCTGTCCTGGAGGTAGCTTACTTCCAGTGATTATTGCATAGCTTACAAATACTCCACCCTTTGCTTCACCTGGAAACTCTGAAAGATCATTTCAGCTCCAGAATTCCCTGTATACAAAACAGGGAGTTGTAGTGGTTGCATTGCTATTGAACTTCTGCCACTGCCAACCCTGCTTCCTTCACTATTACAGGTGTTAATCACAAGAACACTTTTCAATAAACCTGCATGCAAATCTTAAATATATATTTTATATATGGATGTAGAGCTCTGGTTCTGAGACAAGATGGCCTAGACTTTCCATTTCCTTTTCTTTCCTGCTCAATAAAACCAAATGCCCTAGAAATAATTCAAAATGAAAGAAGAATTCTGAAGGGTGGAAAGAAAGGTGAAATGCCTAAGGACATCAGGACTTGAAGAACATAATCATGGTGAATTTTGTGCTTTTTTCTTTTTTTATCTTCCATATATCCTGGATGGAACATAACAGAGATCTGAAACCCAGAACTGCCAAGAGGTTAGCTCTGGGGAATAAGTTCGGGGGAAGGGGGCGTGTAGTGGAGGGTAATGAGAATCTCAGCTGGGACTTAATGAGTAAACCCATACCTGATGGAGCAAGCTGCCTGAACTGCCTATTGCTGAGTCACCACCAGAGATCCAGGGGCCAACCCATCCCCTGCATCACACCAGTATGCAGCCGTGGGTGTGATGCAGGGGATGGGTCTACAGCCACAGTGGCAGCAGTAGAACTTTAGTGCAATGAAAATTAGTAGTGATAAAGAGGAGCATTACACAATGATAAATAGATTAGCCAACAAAAAAGGCATGATGATCCGAAATGTGTAAGCACAAAACAAGATAGCCTAAAATTAAATGAAATTAAAATGCATGGATCTGAATGGAGAAATAGACAAATCCACAAACATGTAATAGAATGTGGTTTCTTTGGAGGCTGATTGAAAAGTCTAAATTGACTGTGATGATGGTTGCATATATAATTGAATACACTAAAAACCATTAAATTATAAAATTTAAATGCATAAATTGTATGGCATGTAAATTACATCTTTTTATTTTTTTATTTTTAATTTTTGTGGGTACATAGTAGGTGTATATATTTATGGAGTACATGAGATATTTTGATAAAGACACCCCGTCATGCAAAATGGGGTATCCATCCCCTCAAGCAGTTATCCTTTGTGTTACAAACACTCCAATTATATTTTTTTAGTTATTGTAAAATGTACAATTAAATTATTATTGATGATAGTCACTGTTGTGGTATGAAATACTAAATACTATTCACATTTTCTAACTATTTTTGTATCCATTATCCATGTGATTTATGTGTTAATAAAGCCATTTAAAATACTTTAAGAACCAGATGGAAAGAGATATATTTACTTGGTACATTATAGATTAATACAATGAATCTACACAACACTTGAGTGTAATATCTGGGGGCTATTTTTTTCTTCCTGTTTTATCAACTGCTATGTCTTCAGAACCGTACGCAAAAGGTGCTCAATAAAGATCTGTTACTGTTTGTTTTTTAACTGTTAGTTCAAATACATCAGTACACATTATTTAACTAGACAAATTCCCATAGAATCAGAGGTTTTCTTTCTCTATAGTCTTTCTCTCTGTATATCCCTACAATTGGGTTAGGAGAAAAGAAAGAAGGAAGGAAGTCTGGTCATTTGTGTTTCCTCATTGAAGGATGTATTCTTTTTTGATACAAACTTGTGCTTAGTAAAAATAGTCAATTTCACAATCAAGATTGCAGACATCCAAAATATGATTGTAACAGACACTATTTGTTTCCACTGAATATACATTCCCCATATTTTTCTTTGTCACAAATCCCCACTTCTGCTCAGGTATTAGATGACATTGGGTTCCTTCCCATTTCAGGAATAAATTGTGATTAGTGCAATCTTATTATGGTATTTTATTCCTATAGTAGACAGTGTTCTCCAGAAAAAAAATAGAACCAATAGAACGTGTGTGTGGGTTCAGGGGAGGGGAGAGAGTTTACTTTAAGAAAGTGGCTGCAAAACTGTGGAGGCTGGCAAGTCCCAGCTCTGCTGGTAGACCAGCAAGCAGACTAGACTCATGGAATAGTCTGTGTTTCAGCCCCAGTACTAAGGAGGTCAGTGGGCAGATTCCCTTTTTCTCAGAGAAGATCAGTCTTTTTCTTAAATCCTGGAAATGATTGCATGGGGCCCACCCACATTATAGAGGGCATTCTGCTTTATTCAAAGTCTGCTAACTTAAATATTAATCTCACCAAAAAATACCTTCACAGAAACATCCTAATATGTTTCACCAAATACACTGGTACATAGCCTATCCAAATTGACACATAAAATTAACCTTCACAAGTCTACCTTTTGTCAATTTGGCACTCATATGCATATCAAACTATAATCTCAAAATACACAAAATTACAAAGTTATACTTCTGCTTAACATGATACATTTTACTACATACAACTAAAAATGCACTAACATTTTCTCCAGAAAAGGATGCAAAATCTTTGTTTAATATTCACTTTTCTTCTTGATATTCTAGAATTTAATTACTATAATATACAGTTAAAAATGCTTAAATATTATGCTGTTAAATAAAAATACCTTATATTATATAAAAAGAGGATTAGATATAGAAGAAAAATGATATTTACTGAACATTATATAGATAGTTGAATGTATATATGTATATATATTTCTACTCATATATATATATAAATATGTTTGCAGTAAAATAAGAAAAACTATTTACGACAATTACATCCTCATTTCTGTAACTCATCATACAGTCATGGAATATACAGGCAGTCTCCAACTTACAATTGTTTTGCTGGCAATTTTTCGACTTGATGATGATGTGAGAGTGATACACAATCAGTAAAAATCATACTTTAAATTTTGAAATTTGATATTTTCCCAAGCTGGCAATATGTTGTATGATACTGTCTCATAATACTGTTCTGAGCATTTTTAAGGTAGGCTAAGCTGAGCTATGCTGTATGGTAGGTTATGTGTATTAAATGCATTTTTCATTTACAATATTTTCAACTTATAATGGATTTATCAGGATGTAACCCCATTATAAGTCAAGGAGCATTTCTATTTACAACTACAATCTCCTACTACCCATTTAACATTTCCTTTGCCTTCAGCAAACACCTCAGTTGTTGGTCATGGGTATTTACCTGGTGGGGTAAACAAAACTTCATTTCAGGAATGTCTGCTTTATTAGCAGTTTTGTCTGAATTGGGTTGTTGCAGTTTTCCATTCACTTTAAACATAGCAAATGGTGACACTAAGAGATACTCCAAGGGATCTCCTGTATTTCAGACTCCTGTATTCTTATGGTATTGTTAAGTAGCAGTTTAATTTCCCGGTAATCAGGATCAATCACCTCAACCAGCACAATAACTCACTTATTTGTCTATTGATTCAATGGGATAAGTATCTCAAAGTAGCCAGGTAGTATTCTTAACTTCAAGTACAATGTAATCATTATTGTGCCTCCTGGCAGAAGTATTTTCCCTTTGGAAATAAGACTTTTAGGCCAGCAGAGCATAAGGTCACGGCAACAGGAAGCAAAGTGGATCATTAGGGGTAATAGCTAATCGTGCCACTACCAATTCCACTCCTTGAATGCTGGACACAGAAATCCTAGCTATGGGAGAAACAGCACCAAATTAGATGCTGATTCAGAGCATAAACATTGTCCTGAAGAATCTTACCCCAGCCTTTCAAGATAGTAACCCTAGTTGGCATAGTAACTGAGTCATCAAAAGGCCATTCCACTGTTCTATTAAGCCTGCTGCTTTATAATGGTGAGAAACATAGTAAGACGAATAAATTCCATAAGCATAGGCCCATTGCCACACCTTATTTGCTGTGAAGTAGGTTTCTTGATACAAAGCAATAAGTATGGAATACATGGTAAGGCATTCTGTGAGTCCACAGATGGTAGTTTTAGCAGAAGCATTGCACATGCGGGAAAGGAACATCCATTTCCAGAATGAGTTTAAGTTCCAGCAAGGAAAAAAGAAGAAAAAAAAAAAAACAAAAAAACACTACCCTTTCCATAATGGAAGTGTTCCAATGTAATCTACTTGCTGATCTCCCCAAGGAAGGGTGCTATATCAGAGACTTGGTGTTGGTGTCTGATGCTAGCAGATTGGGCACTCAGGAGTGGCCATAGCCAGGTCAGCCTTGGTGAATGGAAGGCCATGTTGCTGAGCCCAGACATAAACTCTATCCCTGTCAGCATAGCCACTTTATTCATGAGCTCACTGGGGGATTATAGGGGTGGCTAGGAAAGAGGCTATCTGGTATCCTCCACAGAATGGGTGATCTTATCTACTTGATTGTTAAAAAATTTCTCTACTAAGGTCATCCATTGTTGAGCATTTATACGGAATACAAATATCTTCAAATTCTTCACCCATTCTGAGAGGTCTATCCACATACCTTTTCCCCAGACTTCCTTGACAACTATTTTCAAATGATGTTCTATAAATTTTCTAACCTTTAAGCCAAACCATTGCCATGAGTTGACACATAACTGCAAATCTGGCCATTTCTTCTTCCAAACAAAGTAAACAGCCAGGTGCACTTCTTGAGGTTCTGCCCATTAGGAGGATTTTTCTTCAATACTGCTTTTCAGGTATGTCCAGAAAGGAGCTGCAGTTCTCTAACTATCAACTTTTACGTAATGCCTACATATCACACAGAACCATTTGCAAACCAGGCCCAGGTCTTCCCTTCCCCTATCAAATGATCATAGGAAACTTCCAAATAGGCCATAGGGGCAGGTTGGGAGAGACAAGGCAATGCTGCAGGAGTGGGGACCATAGGCATTTAGGTCACTGCTTCATATAACACATCTTTGCATTTAGAGCCTGCTGAAACTCAATCTGGAGTTATTGCTTTCATTTCATAATGAAGTGCTGCTATACTTCCTTAACCTTATGGCTTGGTATTTCAGAGACTATTTAGTTAGTTATGGGCAGCTTCAGTTACATGGTAACTTGGTGGCTTGTGGTTAAGCATTCAGTCTTTGCCATGGCCCAATAGTGAGTCAAGGGCTGTCTCTCAAAAGAAAAGTAGTTATCTGCAGAGAATAGCAGAGTTTCCTACAAATTCCTGAGGCCCTGCACTGTGATTTATCTATAAGGTCCTACCAAAGGCTCCAAACAGCATCCCTGTCTGACATGAACATTTCAAGCTCCATTTTATTTGCTGCATCATATAGCTCAAGTGACAGAGCAGCATGCACAGCACCCTGCACCTGCTGCAGAGTCTTCTCTTGTTCTGAGCTCTACTCAAAACTGACAGCTTTTTGGGTTACTCAATAAATAGGCCAAGATAGCATACACGAATGAGGAATATGTTGCCTTTAAAATTCAAAAAGGTTCACTAAGCATTGTGCAACTTTTTTGGTTGTGGGAGGGGTCTCATGCAAAAACTTATTCTTCAGCTTATAAGGGATATATTTACATGACACAAACACAGTACTATGGCTATTTCGCTCTGGTAAAGGTCTCTGATGTGTATTGAGATTTATTTTCTACTCTCTCACCAATATCTTACCATTTATTGTAGAATTATCGCTACCTCTTGTTCTATAGATCCAATCAGCATAATGATACTAGTGTATTTGACCAGTGTGACTTCTTATAGAAGAAAAAGGTGATCAAAATCTCTGAAAAATTATGACATAAGACAGAATAGCTAATATACCCCCTGAGTTAGGACAGTGACCTTTTATTGTTGGTCATACAAGCTGAAATTAAGCTGCTTCTCATGGCTCTTACTAAAAGGTAAAGAGATAAAAACATTTTCCAGATCAACAGCTCCATACCAGGTACCAGAGGATATGTGGATTTTCACATTGGTACAGCAGCTGCAGTTGGAGCCACCACCAGGTTAAGAGTATGATAATCTATGGCAATCGTCCAAAATTTGTTTTCTGTACATACCAAGTAGGTGACCTGAATAGAGATATGCTGATTATCACTGCTCCTGCATCCTTAATGTCCACTGTGGTGATGCTAGTCACTGCGGTCCATCCAGGAATATGTCATTTCTTTTTTTCTTTTCTTTTCTTTTCTTTTTTTTTTTTTTTTTTTTTTTTTAACGGAGTCTTGCTCTGTCGCCCAGGCTGGAGTGCAGTGGCGCATCTCGGCTCACTGCAAGCTCCGCCTCCCGGGTTCAGGCCATTCTCCTGCCTCAGCCTCCCGAGTAGCTGGGACTACAGGAGCCTGCAACCACGCCCGGCTAATTTTTTGTATTTTTAGTAGAGACGGGGTTTCACCATGTTAGCCAGGATGGTCTCGATCTCCTGACCTCGTGATCCGCCCGCCTCGGCCTCCCAAAATGCTGGGATTACAGGCGTCAGCCACTGCGCCCGGCCTCTCTTTTTGTTTTCTATTCTTCCAGGTAGTGGCAGTTCTACTGTGATATGGATTGGCTCTGTGTCCCCACCCAAATATCATCTGGAATTGTAATCCCCACATGTCAACGGAGGGAGGTGACTGGATCATGGTGGCGGTTTCCCTCATACTGTTCTCATGATAGTGAGTGAGTTCTCATGAGATCTGATGGTTTTATAAGCATCCGGCATTTCCCTTGCTCACTCTTCTCTCTCTTGCTACCATGTGAAGACGGTCCTTGCTTCCCGTTCACCTTCTGCCATGATTGTAAATTTCCCGAGGCCTCCCCAGCCATGGAGAACTGTGAGTCAATTAAGCCTCTTTCCTTCATAAATTACCCAATCTTGGGTAGTATCTTTATAGCAGTGTGAGAATGTACTAATACATACTGGCTCCCACCTGACCTTTCCTACCATAATGACCTTCATTCCACAAGTCAGGGAACCCATGTGGGGACTGTGCCAGTTCCTGAGATTATCTATACCAATTATAGATTATGAAACTAGGGAATTAAGCACAGAATGATTTGGGGCACCCTCTAGATCCTGAAGGTGGACCAGAGCTAAAACATCATTGATCATCTGACCTCTATAAGTTCTTACTTTGGTGCATCAGAGTGATGTTATTAGTGTCAGTTCAGAGCCAGTATGCAGTAATTCCTGAAAGTTTCTGATTATGTCATTTTTCTCACTGCACAGACATCATAGTGAAAGGACATAAATCTCTTGGAAGAATGCTTGTAGTAAGATTAACTGTGTAAATTTTTGGCAATGTAACAGACTCTTTTCTCAAGTGGACCCAGTCTTTCTTTCATTAAAGGGGTTCTGGGTCTGTAAACTGGCTTCATGTCTGGGAACTGATTAAGAGGTCACAACTACTATCTCTTTTTACGATTCAGGCTAGATGTTTGTTCACTTTACCTAAACATTTTCTATTTATACAGATAAAGTAAGAATTTAGTAGGTTTCCTATCAATTTCACATTTAGAAACACTGTGATTAAATACCCAACACCATAGGTCTCTTCAAGTCAGATTATTCTGATTACTTCTTTGACTCTGATGTCCATTATAGTAACCATGCCCACTTTTTTGGGGGGAATTGAGTGCTGCCACTTGACCCCTGCCACCTTAAGATCCAATTTCCCTTACTGCATTTAGATTTCCCAATTTGGTGGCAGTAGTTTCCAATGTAAGTTCTGACTCACAGAGAAGAATGACCATAGAGGTGTTCAAGGATGCTAAAGCTCCCCTAACATTTTTTTTTTCTCATGGTAAAAGATTTGTTATTTGGACCCTACTGACATGGATGAGCAGGTCTTAAAAGACAAATGCACTGTTACATTCCAATCTCTCTAAGTGCTTTAGTTCCTTCACCCACAGCATACCAAAAAAAAAAGTTTTGACATCTCTCCTTCATTTGCTGAGGGCCACCTTTTGGTCCATGTTTCAGACAGCCAACCAAATCAACTACTGAAGCCCTTTATAAATTCCTGGGCTACAACCTTAATTTGAGAATCTCTGTTTGGTGGGCTCATATCAATAAATTTAGCCTAATCCAACTTTAAGTTTCTTCCACCATGATCTCACATGTGTAAATTGGAAAAAAAAATGTAGTTCTTTTGAAGTGTAACACACCTCATGAATTACACTTTGTATTTCACCTTTCAGTCCCTTCTGGGACTTGAGTCTAGTTATAGGTATAGAAGTAAAGAGTAGTGTTGAGGGTGGATCATGAGAAGAAGCAGTATCTTGCAAGGCAGTTACCTTAGGGGAGCCATTACAGTTTCCTTAGGCAGTGTAGGATTAATCTCCTTAGATGGGGTTGCAGAGGCTTCTCCACTTACAGAGAAGACTCATGAAAATTTAAGGACTCAGCATCCTTAGGTTCATCACAGTCTGCCCTGATATCCCATTTCAAGTTTCAGGATTCCATTTCTTTCCAATCAATCATCTCACTTTAACAGCAGACATTTTCTGAGGTTTGAAATTCAGTTTGGGTTGTGATTCAGCCACTTACCAAATGAAACTCTTGGTTTGTTTTCCAGCAATCTCATCTCTGAGGGTACAAACAATAAGCGTTTATTTCAGGGCAGACATGGAAACTTTCCGGTCATTTATGTAACACATAGGCTGACACATAAATACCTGAGCTTATGCTCTGTTTTCTCCACTTTGTTCAGCAAGATTAGGAGTAACCAGCCTGTTTCCTTATATTCATTAGTTTGTTAAGAATGTTCTAAAATACCAAATACATAGTCATTCAAAATCTTGCCTCTTATAAGTATTTGATTGGGAGTATCCAATTGTGATATTTTGTGTATTTTTATTGCCACAATATGCCATGGACTCTCAGTACTCTCCTCAACTTTGGAAATATAGTCATTACTATTTGAGAGCACAGCAGTGTCTATAAATTTAAATTGATTAGAGAACTAATTCAAGAAACTCCAGAAGCTATTCAGAAAACTCATCCTTAAAACTCTGTCCCTCTAGAACCATTTTTGGTAACAAAAGCTGTAGTTGTCATGGTTCTCCAAAGAAAGAGAACCAACAGGATATTTACAGGTGTAGATATATAAATATATACATAGTATCCATTTATGTATCTATCTACCTGTATGTATCTATCTATCTGTCTACTAAGAGAGAGATTTTTAAGACTTTGGTTCACATGATTATGTGGTTGCAGAAGCTGGAAAGTCAGAAAGGTAAATTGGCAGGCTAAAGACTAAGGGAAGAGTTGATCTTGCAGCTGGAGACTGCCCAACTGTTATTGAAAAAAGCACAAATGCAACCTAATGGAGGAAGAATATCCTTTTCAATAAATAGTGTTGGAAAAATTGGACATCCATAGGTTGAAAAAATAAAAATCAACCTAAACCGGCCAGGCGCGGTGGCTCACGCCTGTAATCCCAGCACTTTGGGAGGCCGAGGTGGGCAGATCACCTGAGGTCAGGAGTTTGAGACAAGCCTGGCCAACATGGTGAAACCTCATCTCTATAAAAATACAAAAAAATTAGCCTGGCGTATTATTGTATGCCTGCAGTCCCAGGTACTCGGGAGGCTGAGGTGGGATAATCCCTTGAACCAGGGAGGTGGAGGTTTCAATGAGCTGAGATTGTGCCACTGCACTCTAGCCTGGGTGATACACCGAGATTCCATCTCAAATAAAAAAAAAAAAAAAAAAGAAAGGAAAACTAGTTTGAAAACCAGAAATATTAGATGTTTCTCCTAGCTGAAATCTGTTAAGAGATTTTAAAAATATTTTTTCAAAAAGATCTCTATGGTCAAAGGTCAGCTTAATTAAAAGCTGATGTTCAGGTTATACTTAAAAAAAAAAAAAAGGCCCTTCTCTTTTTCTCTGTTTTTGAATTATATTTCTTCCGTGGGAACTTCTAAGTCAACTGAACCCCTTATTCTTGAAGCTTAGCTAACTAGAACTTTATTGGCCTTTATAGAAAACTTGAAATTTCCCTAATCTGGTTCCTCTAAGACTAATTCAATATGTTTCTCCCCCTTTTTTCCTTTTGCTGGCTTTTTTCAGCCCATGCTTTCTCCATTTGGTGGTCAATGAATAAGAATTACTAAAGCAAAACCTTAGAGTTCTGGCTACCATATGGAGGGAACTAAAGTAAGACTTGTAGCATCTTTGAGATCATTTGAGGAACACAAAATGGACACCACTAAACCCTTTTTAGAGATCCTCTCTTTCTCCTGGAGTCCCAAGTGTCATGGATGGGTTCCTCCAAAGTGTAAAGCTCTTTTGTCTTCTGCCTTGAGTTCCGTGATCTCTGGCTTTTGGGAGTACAAAGGGTTATTTTATAGTGTGAGAGAACACTAGAACTTTGAGTTTACAGTCATTAAAAAGTCACTGTCAAGAGCTGCAATTTTCAAGGTAACTGACAGTGGTGGCAAAAAATGGTTGTTACAGGGAAAATCTCTGGCTTCCTGTCCTCTTAGTTTCTTCACATGCTTAGATTAAAAAAAAACAGTCTCAGATGTCTGATCAAGTCAGATAGAAATTGGCAGTAAATAGCAATGGTATCTGAATTTTCTCGTATGCTAATTTGTCTAATTATTTGTAAAATCCTGTATTACATTCCTATGATTTTTTTTGCTACCATTTTTTAAATTATCCTGTGTCTCATCGGTCTCATCTAACTGAAACACTTGAACTTAATTCTCCCACTCACCTGGCCCTTTATCAGGGCTTTCCCAGAGAGTGGCTAGCTTTTTTTCTAAAATTTTTGTGGGTATATAGTAGGTGTACATATTTATGGGGTACATGATATATTTTGATACAGGCATACAATGTGAAATAAGCACATCTTGGAGAATGGGGTATCCATTCCCACAGCATTTATCCATTGAGTTGCAAACAATCCAATTACACTCTTGATAAATCTGCCAGGCCAGGGCTGGAGTTTATAACCACCTTCCAGAGAAAAACCTGAAGACCAAATTAGAAAAAAATGCAACAAATTCACCCAGATGAATTTTGGAAACATTCAAACCTAAAATCTAGTCCACAGCCTACATACATTTATTTTAATAGTAGACAATATATCTTACAGTCTTTTTTGAAGATAAAATTAAAAAAAAAACTAATGCAAATGCATTTTAGTTTAAGTGATCTGAGATAACCTTTGGTAAATAAAGCTAGATTTAAAACTCTGAACTAAAAGTAAAAATGTCTTCAGAAGTGTCAGAATTTATTATTATACAAGCATACTTTTTTAAACCTAGAGTTCCTATTCAAGCAAGCTTGTTACCTCCTGGATATTTAAAGGAGAGGAAAAAACCAGGTTTAAATTTTAGCTTTTCGTTATCTCTGCTTTTATAATATTGTTGATGCATTCTTGATTTGTCTCAGGAGGAGGAACCTGAGGAGGCTGGATGCTGGGCTCCCAGAAAACATACATCTTGTTGTGAGCTTATGTACTTAATTTTGAGCCTCTGTATTCTGGGATCTAGACAGATCACCATTGTCAATCCTGGGGACGTGAGTGTGCTTAAAGCACCTGGGCCACCAGCTGCAGGGCAGAATCTAGCCTGGTATGACCACATCCTGCCTCCAGTGATTCAGATGCATGAGTTAGGATGAGACTGGCTGATTTAGAGTTAACTTTGCTTTGCTTTTTCAAAAGAAAATAACTTTTAAAAAGCTACCTCTGTTTTCTATGAGCAATTAAAATATAATTGTTAAAAATAAGGAATTTATTTTATTTTATTTTTCAAGATGGCACATTAGACGCATTGCTAGCATACCTCTCTCAATTGAAAGGACAAAATAGTGCATAGAGAATCATATTGTGAATGTTTTCAAGAAGCAATGCAGGTACTGAACAGGAACTCAAGGACCTTTTGAAAGGTCTGTAGATACCACCTTACTCCTGTGGGAACGCTCATTATTAAATAGCAAAAAAAAAAAAAAAAAAAAAAAAAAAAAAAAACCATCTGTATTGGCGTGGATGTAGGGGAAAGGGAATGCTTATACATTGCTGGTGGGAATGTAAATTAGAACAAGCTCTATGGAAAACAATATGAAGATTCCCTAAAGAGCTAAAACTAGACCTACTATACAACTGAGCAATCTCACAACTGGGTATCTACCCAAGGGAAAAAAAGTCATTATGTGAAAAAGAAACTTGCACATGTATGTTTATAACAGCACAGTTTACAATTGCAAAGATGTGGAACCAACCTAAGTGCCCATTGACTAATGAGTGGATGAAGAAAATGTGGTATATATACTTAGATTCCTACTTAGCCATTAAAAGGAAGAGAATAATGTCCTTTGCAGCAACTTCGATGGAGCTGGAGGCCATTATTCTAAGTGAAGTAACACGGGGGTGGTAAGCCGAAAACTATATGTTCTCACTCATAATTGGGAGCTAAGCTATCAATATGCAAAGGCATACAGAGTGATATAATGGACTTTAGAGACTCAGAAGGGGGAGGGTAGGAGGGGAGCTAGGGATAAAAACAGTACACATTAGTTACAATGTGCACTACTTGAGTTATGGGTGCACCAAAATCTTAGAATTCACCACTGTAGGGAACTGAACAGTGAGAACACTTGGACACAGGGTGGGGAACAGCACACACCAGGGCCTGTAGTGGGGTTGGGGGAGGGGGGAGGGATAGCATTAGGAGATATACCTAATGTAAATGATGAGTTAACACGTACATGTATACATATGTAACATGGCACATGTATACATATGGCACATGGCACATGTATACATATGTAACAAACCTGGCACACATATACATGGCACATGTATACACATGTAACAAACCTGCACCTGCACATTGTGCACATGTACCATAGAACTTAAAGTGTAATAAAAAAAAGAATTTACCACTGTATAATTCATCCATGTAACAGAAGACCACTTGTACCCCAAAATATATTAAAATAAAATGAAAATTAACAAAACAAATTGTACCAGGCAAACAATAAAAAAAAGCAAATATAAACAAACATTTATATATTTGTAAGTGAAATTTGTTAGTTTCAAGAATCTTTTCAGTTATTTAAAATCTAAAAGTCATGTTATGTTACATTAAGTAGTAGATAGTCATAAAATATCTGAGGAACTATTTTGTTTGTTTGTTTTTGGTTTCCACAGAAATTCATCTTAATAAATATTTAATTACTGAAATCATGTAGAGGTCTGACTTGTCTGGAAGCTCATCTACAACAACACTTCCTGAAATGAGACATAACTGTTAACTGTTTAATTGGACTGGCCTATTTGGGGATTAAGAGGCAGAGACAATGGCTTATGAGACAACCCACCAACCCAATTTCTAGACTTCGAATCTTTTTGTGGAAGTTTCAGATTGGAGAACATTGAGGCTCATAAAACAATACCCCCAAATTAAGATCTCAGAAGCATAGGTTTTCTCTGTCCTTCTCCTGCACTCCTGTCTGTTACCCCCTCATTTTCCCCCAAGGGAAGCCATAGAAACTAAAATCCCTTTTCTCCAAGATGGGTCATAGAAACTAGAACTCCTTTTCCACATGAGACAGTTAACACTGTGTTTCCTTTCTGGAAGAGATGTTGTAGATGGGCTTCCACAAAAGTAAGGCCTCTGTATGATTTCAGCATTCAAATATTTAATGAGGCATTTCTATGGAAATATAATAAACAAAGATAAGTTAGGTAATAGTCATAAAACCTAAAAATGATTACCCTAACTTTCCTCTTCTTTCTGTGAAAGTATTTAGGGGTGGCAAATATCCAAGTCTCCCAACACCAGATATGTTACTGGTGGCAAATATCTGAGTCTCATGGCACCAAATATGTTAGGGGTGGAAGGTATTGGAGTTAAGGGTGGTGAATCCGTACAGGTCTGCAGCAACCTCAATTCTTGCCTCCTCGGAAGAAAGAATTCAACTGAGAGGCATAAGGCAGAAAAAGAGACCAAGGCAAGTTTCAGAGCAGTAGTGGAATTTTATTTAAAAAGGCTTTTGAACAGGAAAGAAAGGAAAGTACGCTTGGAATAGACATAAGAGGGCATGTGAAGGTCAAGTGCCATCTTTAACCCTGATCCTAGAACTTTATAGACTGGCCCCTTTCCCGTGATTCTTCCCTTAGTGTGGGCTTCCTGTACATGCAGTACCCTTCTTACCCTTGGGAGGTGAGTACACGCAGTATTTTTAGGAAGTTGTATGCGTGCTCATCTGAGACTTTCTTCCCTTTTCTGGTGGAGTGTCCTCGGAAGGTCATACTCTGCCATTTTGTCTCTTAATGCACATGCCCAGGAAGTTGCATCTCTCTGGCACCTACAATTAACACTTTAGTGCAACAGGTGTGGACCATAAAAAAAATGACCTCTCCCTGACACCGGCTGTCAATTTATCACTTTTACAATGTGATAATTGCTGAACAATTACCCAACATTCCTAATGGGTGGAGAAAGAGCCCTCTCCTGGACCACTCCTCCTAACTGCCATAAAGAACTTATCTGACCTACTTTGTTTGATAGTAGGTCATAAGAGCCCCTTTTAAAAGAGGGTCCTTACCTATATCCAGAAGGAAGAAATGCTGCACAGAGAGGCTAGGACAAATACGAACAGACGGGCTTTGCTGTTTCCCGACTCAGTCTATTAGCATTAGCTATTACTCTCTTTTCAGTCATGGCTCTGCACAGTTGACCATTTTTTATTAAACCTAAGCATAATAACGGACACCTTCACCCATATCTTTGGGTCTTTATTCTGAAGGTTCTCATGTAACATAAAACTGTGATTCAATATAATTATTTTGCTTCTCTCTTGTTAAACTGTCTTTGTTCTAAGGGTGTCAGCTGTGACCCTTATGGGGAGGAAAGAAATCACCCATTTTGCACCCCCACAGGAAATTAGTTAACATATTATTTATTAATTTTTTGCTAAAATATATCTTATCAAATAACAGCTAGAGTGCAATTTAGCAGAAATGATGTTGGCATTACACAAATATAGAACATTTTTTATACACCTCTATATTTTGTGGGCTCAGAAACTGATATCCCAAAATATGGTGTTTTAATGTGCTGAACTTAAGAAGCCTCAAGTCTCGCTGACCTGTCCTCCACCACAGCCTCTCCCAAAGCATGGGACAAAGTTGTTATTTGAAGCTGCTCTATCGGCCCAAAGTCCAGACGCACCAGGGAGAACAATTGTTGTTGTTTTTCTCTTCCCTATTATATAATTATTTATTGCCGAAAAGAAGACCAAGAATTTAACCACACAAGAACAGACTCTTATATAAGATAATGTCTGTCTCTCAAATGTATTCAAATTCCAAAGAGAACTATTTACCAGTTAATCTGTTCCCCATCCATTTATTCTTCCTGTTATTCAATTATTGCCCCTCACCATAATTCTTCTTCCTCCCTTTCAAAATCTGTTTTGCCAGGATCTGAGTCCCATTCTTTCTGTAACATCAAGCTGGTGTATAAGCTTCTTTGCCTTATTGGGGGGTTGGATCTTTGTTTCCTGTATAAACATTGAATAAATTTGTATGCCTTTTCTCTTATTAATCAACGTGTCTCATGTCGGTGATTTTCAGCCAACCTTAAGAGGGCAAAGAGGAATTGTCCCCTTGGCTACCCTACAATATCTATTACCTGTATCTTTCTTAAAATTGTACGTTAGCCATTTTTACTAGTTTTGAAAATGTTTTTTAAAAGAGAAAATAGTGTTTTGCAAAAGTTAGCAGACAATTTTATTGAAGTCCCTAATGCCTAATTTTTTAAGTGATTATTTGCATAACATATATTTTATCAAATGTGTTGCATTATGTTAATGGCATTTTGATTGTTAGTATTAATTTATGTGATAAATATTTCCTACATTAAAAAATTTAATACCAATAAATAAATAGCCTTCTTTCATTCAGAGCACATATGGCTCTTTCAATGGGGCAAAGAGGTATCCAACTGCTACTGACTTTAAGCAGATCAAAAATTCTTTTCAGGTTGAGCAGGACACAAATTAGTCACAATCAATCACATTATCTGTTCTCTTACACCTTCCAATTCCACTCTGAATAGTATCCACAGGAAAGAATTAGTAGGAAATTAAATTATAATCATGTATTCTGGAGAATGTATAGAAAGTATTAAAGGACTGTGTAGAAGAAATTTGAATAGAACATAAAGGCATTAGATTCGTGTGAAAAGAACACAGCAGCATATGTGCCTTGTGATATAATGTCAGACAAATTTCTTTCATATAATTAGCGAACCCTGGTGTTGCAGAACTTTGCTTCTTAGTTCAGCTAAAACCAAGTTCTTGTGACACGACCAGGAAGTTAGGCATGCAGGCACATTGAAGGGTGAGGGGAATGGAATTTATTGGGCAAAAAGGAAAAAAAAAAAACAACAAAAAACACCTCTCAACAAAGCGAGAGGAGTTCCTGCTAACAGGCTGCCACCTCACAGGTTGATTTTAGGCCACACACAGTAACTGAAGAGGCCAGGCTCCTCCCCTGTGTAAACAGCACAAACTTCCCATGGCTCCACCCTGTTCTCCCAGTGCACAGGCCGGTAGGAGATTGTCGGGAGACCCTCTCCCTTATCTGCTTTCTGCATCTATCACTGGCTTACTATGTACATGAATATAAGACAGAAATTTTAATGTAACAACTAGGAAGCAAAAAAAAAAAAAAAAAATTACACAGTTTTACAGCCTGTTAATGAAATTCCATTTTCATTGTTATGGGTGGTGTGCATTTTTAGAATTATAATATTTAATAGCATAGGTGTATTAGTCCATTTTCACGCTGATCATAAAGATATACCCAAGACTGGGCAATTTACAAAAGAAAGAGATTTAACGCACTTACAGTTCCACTTGGCTAGGGAGGCCTCACAGTCACAACAGAAGATGAAAGACATGTCTGACAAGGAGGCAGACAAGAAAAGAGCACTTGTGCAGGGAAATCCCCGTTTTTAAAACCATCAGATCTCATGAGACTTATTCACCATCATGAGAACAGCATGGGAAAGAACCACTCCCGTGATTGAATCACATCCCACCAGGTCCATATCACAATATGTGGAAATTCAAGATAAGATTTGAATGGCGACACAGCCAAACCGTATCATTCCACCCCAGCCTCTCCCAAATCTCATGTCCTCACATTTCAAAACCAATCATGCCTTCCCAACAGTCCCCCAAGTCTTAACTCATTTTAGCATTAACTCAAAAGTCCAACATCTCATCTGAGACAAAGCAAGTCCTTTCTGCCCATGAGCCTGTAAAATCAAAAGCAAATTAGTTACTTCCTAGATACAATGTGGGTATAGGGATTGGGTAAATACAGCCATTCCAAATGGCAGAAATTGGCCAAAACAAAGGGGCTACAGACCCCATGCAAGTCGGAAATCCAGCAGGGCAGTCAAACCTTAAAGCTCCAAAATGATCTCCTTTGACTCCATGTCTCACATCCAGGTCACGCTGATGCAAGTGGTGGGTTCCTGAGGTCTTGGGTAGCTCCACCCCTGTGGCTTTGTAGGGTACAGCCTCCTTTCTGGCTGCTTTCACAGGTTGGCATTGAGTGTCTGTGGCTTTTACAGGCGCACGGTGCAAACTGTCAGTGGATCTATCCTTCTGGATTTTGGAGGACGGTGGCCCTCTTCTCACAGCTCCAGTAGGTGGTGTCTCAGTAGAAACTCTATGTGGGGGCTCAGACCCCACATTTTCTTTCCTCACTGCCCCAGCAGAGGTTCTCTATGAGAGTCCTGCCCCTGCAGAAAACTTCTGCCTGGGCATCCAGGCGTTTCCATTCATCTTCTGAAATCTAGGCAGAGGTTCCCAAACCTCAATTCTTGACTTCTGTGCATTTGCACACTCAACACCATGTGGAAGCTGCCAAGGCTTTGGAATTGCGTCCTCTGAAGCCACGGCCTGAGCTATATGTTGGCCCCTTTCAGCCACAGCTGGAGTGGCTGGGATGCAGGGCACTAAGTCCCTAGGCTGCACACAGCACAGGGACCCTTTGCTCAGCTCGCAAAACTGCTTTTTCCTCCTAGACCTCTAGGCTTGTTATGGGAGGGGCTGCCATGAAGACCTCTGACATGCCCTGGAGACATTTTCCCAGTTGTCTTGGGGAATAACATTAGGCTCCTTGTTACTGATGCAAAGTTCTGCGGCCGGCTTGGATTTCTCCTCAGAAAATGGGATTTTATTTTCTATCGCATTGTCAGGCTGCAAATTTTCTGAACTTTTATGCTCTGCTTCCTTTTTAAAACTGAATGATTTTAACAGCGCCCAAGTCACCTCTTAAAGGCTTTGCTGCTTAGAAATTTCTTCCGCCAGATACCCTAAATAATCTCTCTCAGAGTCTATGTTCCACAAATCTCCAGGGCAGTGGCAAAACTCTTGCTAAACCATAACAAGAGTCGCCTTTGCTCCAGTTCCCAAAAAATTTCGCATATCCCTCTGAGACCACCTCAGACTGGATTTCATTGTCCATATTTTCAGGATTTTGGTCAAAGCTATTCAACAAGTCTCTAGGGAGTTCCAAACTTTCCCACAATTTCCTGTCTTCTTCTGAGCCCTCCAAACTGTTCCAACCTCTGCCTGTTACCCAGTTCCAAAGTCGTTTCCACCTTTCCCAGTATCTTTTCAGCAGCACTCCACTCTACTGGTAACAATTTACTGTATTATTCCATTTTCGCACTGCCAATAAAGACATATCACACTGCTGATAAAGACATACCTGAGACTGGGCAATTTACAGAAAAAAAAAAGAGAGAGAGAGAGAGATTTAATGGACTTACAGTTCCACGTGGCTTGGGAGGCCTCATGATCATGACAGAAGGTAAAAGGCACATCTCACATCGTGGCAGACAAGAGAATAGAGTCTGTGCAGGGAAACTCCCCTTTTTAAAATCATCAGGTCTTGTGAAACTTATTCACCATCAAGAGAACAGCATGGGAAAGACCCACCCTTATGATTCAATCACCTCCCACTGGGTCCCTCCCACAACACATGGGAATTCAAGATGAGATTTGGTTGGGGACACAGCCAAACCTTATCAATAGAAAAGTTTAAATTTTTCTCCTGAAGGTTCAATTATTTGAGTCTGTAAAACCAACTAATAGACAATATTGGGATGCAGAAAATGAATACAAAAAATATGGTGCTTGGGCATGCTTTGTGCTTTTGAAAATGAAAAGACCTCAGAAATAAGCCTCAGAATCAAGGTCCTTCTAACCTTGTTGCATTCCTCCCACTCCTCAAGAAGCATTTTCTTTTTCTGAGACAGGGTCTCACTTTGTCACCCAGGCTGCCCTGCAGTAGCACTATCATAGCTCACTATTGTCTCAACTTCCCAGGCTCAAGCCATCCTCTCACCTCAGCCTCCTGAGTAGCTGAGACCACAGCTGCGTGCCTGTATTAGTCCGTTTTCACACTGCTGATAAAGACGCACCTGAGACTGGGCAATTTACAAAAGAAAGAAGTTTAATGGACTTACAGTTCTACATGGCTGGGGAAGCCTCACAATCATGATGGAAGGCAAGAAAGAGCAAGTCATATCTTACATGGATGGCAGCAAGCAAAGAGACAGCTTTTGCCGAGAAACTCCCCCTTATACAACTATCAGATCTCATGAGATTTATTGGCTATCACAAGAACAGCAGGAGAAAGACCTGCCTCCATGATTTAATTATCTCCCTCCAGGTCCCTCCCACAACACGTGGGAATTCAAGATGAGATTTTGGTGGGGACACAGCCATATCATATCAATGTCACTGTCAACGAAAAGAGCCGAACTCTGTAAAATATTTGAAGAGATTTATTCAGAGCCAAATATGAGTGACCATGGCTGGTGACACAGCCCTCAGGAGGTCCTGAGAACATGTGCCCAAGGGGGTTGGGATGTAGCTTGGTTTTATACCTTATAGGGAGGAATGAGACATCAATCAAATACATTTAATAAATACATTGGTTTGGTTCAGAAAGGTGGTACAACTCAAAGTGGGGGCTTCCAGGCTGTAGGTAAATTTAAATACTTTCTGGTTGACAATTGGTTGAGTTGGTCTAGAGACCTGGGATTGACAGAAAGGAAATGTTAAGGTTAAGATAAAAGACTGTGGAGACCAAGGTTATTTTGAAGCCTTATAGTGGCTGCCCTTAGAGACAATAGATGACTAATGTTTTCTATTCGGATCTTTAAAAGGTGCTAGATTTTTAGTCAATCTGTTTAGGATTGGGAGGGTCTGGAAGAAAAAGATTGGCTATGTTAATAGAGATTCTTTACAGATGTAAATTTTCTTCCACAAAGGACAGCTTTGCAGGGCCATTTCAAGATATGGCAAAGAAACATGTTTTCACATAAAATATTTTGATTTACTTCCATGTCTCATAATATTGTGCCAGAGTCAGGTTGGAAAGTAAGTCATGATATATAGGACTAAATAAAACCCATCTGATGAAAATTTATGGTTTGTAGGGCATGATTTCCCATGTTCTCCAGGCTAGTCTCAAACTCATGGCCTCAAGCAATCCTCCTGCCTTGAACTCCCAAACTACTGATATTACAAGCATAAGCCACGATGCTCAGTGCAGAGCAGGAAAGCTTCATACCAACAGAAACATAATTCCTTTCAATTTCTTCCCTGAAATGTCACCAATTTCAGAATAGAAGACTAAAGAAGGCAACCACACCAAATAGACTTTTTTTGCAAGATAATGCCTGACTCTTGAACTGATTTAAATTCCAAAGAGAATCACTTATGAGTTAATTTCTGTCTCCCTGGTCCATTCATTCTCTCTAATAATCACTTACTGCTGCCCAAAAGAATTTTCTACATTCCTTATCACCTCCCTCCCCTATGAAAAAGAGTACACTTCTATATCCCATTGAGGGTTTGGGGTAATCATTTTTCCCCCAACCCCTGCCCCTCATGCATGTTAATAAAATTTGTATGCCTTTTATCCCATTAATGAAACTGCCTTTGTAAAATTATGGCAATAAGAGAAATCTGACATCATTGACTTCATCTCACTCATAATTTTGAAGCTCTCCTCAGTAATTCATGGGCATAGGCCAAGCAAACTTTGGGAGAGATTTAGTTTGTAGTTTAATCTTAAAGCAAGGGTGATAATAGCTCTTCCCCAAACTAAATCAGCCTTGTAAAACTAATGAAAGTCCCTGCAAGTAAGATTATGAGAGGGACTTGAATTCTGCTAAGATGTAGGCATAGTTTCTATAATCCCTTACTGCTCAGGACTCAGGTAGCTGGAGATGACAAGATTCATGACTTCCACAGTTGCTCTTATAGATAATATCACTATTGTGGAAGCTAAGATTCATCTTTTGAGATTTTTTTTTGCACACTTTTGTGTTCTGGCAACCAAGTTAATCCATCTGGACTTCTGATTCATGACTCAACCAGTCCTGTGGCCCCCCACTGAGAGGTGGACTCAACGCATGAGGACCATTTTTCACACTCCTATTATGGCAACTTCAACTGTTAGCGGTGGCAAATATCCAGGTTGCCAGTGCTGAATCTGTATGGGTCTGCAGCAACTTCAATTCTTGCCTCTTCAGAAGAAAGAATTCTACTGAGGTGCATAAGGCAGAAAAAGAGACTGGGGCAAGTTTCAGAGTGGGAGTGGAAGTTTATTGAAAAGCTTTAGAGCAGGAAAGAAAGGAAAATACACTTGGAAGGGATCCAAGTGGGCATCTTGGAAATCAAGCACCTTGTTTAACCTTGAACCTCAGATTTTATATGCCGGTCTACTTCTAGCATCTTGCATCCTTTTCCTTTCAGTCTTCCCTAAAGGTGAGTCACCCGCATGCATGGTGCCCTCCTTGCACTCGGGAGGTGAACACGCACAGTGTGTTTAAGTAGTCGTAAGCATGCTCACCTGAGGCTTTCTTCCTTTTCTGGTGAAATGCCCTGGGAAGGTCATACTTTACCATTTTATCTCTTAATGTACATGCTCAAGCCAACTCACCCCATTCCTGAGTTGTTATTGGAAGCTGTCAATTACCAATTTCAAGTGTTTTTATCTATTGAGAAATTGCCTCTTTCTGGCATTGGCTGTGATGAATTATTATTTTAGAAAGCCCAACCATCTGGAAACTGCCTCTCTCTGGTATGAGCTGCAATCAATTCTCATTCTAGAGAGGCAGTGTGATAACTGCTAGGCCATCACCTGATGTTTGCCTGACATTCCCAGTGGGTGGAGGGTGAGCCCTCTCATGCCCCTCTGATGCCTGCCTAGCTATATACTGAAACACAACCAATCAGTAACTGCCATTACCTAGTCTTCTCCCTGCATACCAAATTTTCTTGAAAGACCATAACTCTAAGCCTTCAAGGAGACTGATTTGGGTAAAAAGCATGTCTCCTATGTGGCCAGTTTCCTGTAAAATAAATCCTTTCCTTACTGCAATGCTGTGATCTCAGTGTTTGTGCAGCAGGCAGGAAAAGGCCATCAAATGATTACATTGATATGCTTCTTTTTAATTTGATTTTTATAGAATCTTCAGAGCACAAAGGAAAAGTTTTCCCTTGTCCCCTACAGAAATTAGCAGAAAAAAAGACATACAAATGTATTGGCATGAATATGTGAGCATGAGAGTCATACAAATAAAAATCCTGAAAGAAAAGGAAGATGACTGATGCTTAAATATTCACTTCATTGAAGAGAGGGGAGATGGAGGCTTGTAGGAGTAAATGATATTCAGAGGAAATTAATGAACCTAAAGAACAGCAGCCCAGAAACAGGTTTCTCTGAGCTCTGAAGAATGTCACATTATGGGTTATAGAAAAATGAAGGAAGGAATTTATGTCAAGCAAAGGTAATCTTGTTATGCAGATAAAAATATTCCAGGTAATCTCTGAGCTGCCTTTAGAAAAAGTAGATGATAGTTTGTGGTTGGTTAATCTTTCCTAGACCCAGATAAGAGAGGGGCCTCAGAAAGTCTGTTTATTTATTTTTATTTTTATTTTTATTTTTTGAGACGGAGTCTTGCTCTGTCACCCAGGCTGGAGTGCAGTGGCGCCATCTCGGCTCACTGCAAGCTCCACTTCCCTGGTTCACGCCATTCTCCTGCCTCAGCCTCCCGAGTAGCTGGGACTACAGGCGCCTGTCACCATGCCAGGCTAATTTTTTGTATTTTTAGTAGAGACGGGGTTTCACCATGTTAACCAGGATGGTCTCGATCTCCTGACCTCATGATCCACCTGCCTCAGCCTCCCAAAGTGCTGGGATTGAAAGTCTGTTTATTTTACCAATGCAGTTTTTTTCTTTTTTTTTTCTTTTTTCTTTTTTACAAATGCACATCTCTTCTGCAAAAGGCAGCTTTGCCAAGGTATTCCTGTGTGCAGGTTCTCTGAATAGCTTTCTGGAAATATCTCAAAAAAGTAGACTTTGGGGTAAAATATTTTTGGTTTCCCATAATGGCGTGTTATCCTTTGTATTCTGCCTAACTACATTTCTCCTTTCTCTGATAACCTATCTCTTGTTAATGGAAATAATACCGATGACGATCCTTCAGAAACATAAAATCTGAGGCTACAAATCTTTGGCAAAGGAGAAAGTGATAGTTATGACTCTTACATGAGGTTATGTTAATAAAATTCTAGTTGCTAATAATCAGAAATAAGACAAAAAGTCTGTCTTCTCTGTCTCTATCTCTTTCTCTCTCTATATATATTTATGTATATATGTATGTATATATGGGTATGTGTATATCTATATATGTGTGTATATATGTGTGTGTGCATACGCATCCACCACACAGACCCCCCAGAATAGCAATAGCAATAGAATTTCAGGGTGTTAGATGGACTACATTGTGAGACCAAAGCAAATATTTGATGGTTACTATGCCAATTATGAAGGAGATAAAGCGGACAAGAGAGAATGAGAGAGAGAAAATAATTTCAATTTAAAGGCAGTGGAAAAATGGCCCCAAAATCTTTCATATATTATTAATATCATCAGTTTATATTGTGTATGACAGAATAATTTTTCCTTCTTATTTTTTAGAAAGATGTACATATTTCAGAGGTAAGATTTAGGTTTCAGGTGTTCTCCAACCTTTCTGCATATCAGCACAAACACCTAATGAATGTATTACAAATGTTAGTTTCTTAGCTCTACTAAATCTGAATCCTTTGAAGTATCTATTTTAACAGGCTCTCTGGAGTGATGATCCTGATGTAACTGGCCCCTGGAGAGACATTTGGGATAATGTAAGTTTGGTAACTATTTCTTTTTTTTTTTAGTGGTAATGAAATGTCATTGAGATTTTCTTTTATCTTTCTTGTTATAAGATGTTAAATACACTTTGATGCCAAAAAATAACCAGAATTCTTGATATTCTGCATTCCTGATGTTTCATTTCAATTTTGACAAAAGACCATGAGATCTGCAGAGAAAAAAAGAAGAGCTATATTTTCTATAAGCAGTCTGCAGATTGGGGAGATACAACCTTCAATGCAAACTGAAAATGTGCTCTGAGGAGAGGTTGCAGAGTTAGAGCTTATAAAGGCACAAACAGTAGGGCAAGAGAAGGGAGTTAGGAGAGTGAGAAATAGAATGTTTTGACTGGATGAGCTTTAAGCCCAAACTCATCAGTCTTTCTTAATTGACTGGTTTCAGGTGATTAATTTGTTGACAGGAGATAGTCTGTTGGTGATCAGTTGGGAAATATCCAGCTGCAGTCTATCTCAAGATTGACAACAAGAATTAGTTTGGCTTCATTGTGAAAAGGTAGGTTCATTGACACTTTTACATCTTTCAGAGAACACAGAGTGGGTGACCATTCCCTCACCCAGCCATGGCCACCTAATTCTGTTTAACTTGGAGCACCTCGGTGAGGCATGGGGAGTCCATATTATCTGTCAACTGGGCGCATAGTTCAACGTTGAACAAAAGTGACAGAGCTTGGGTTTATAAGTATTTTGTTTACATGTAACATGATGAGACAGGCACTAGGTATATTGTTTTTTAATCTCAAAATTCAAGCTGAAAGATTAAACTTGATTATTGTTGATTTATGGAAGTTTGGGGTCATCTTAAGTTCTAAAAATTTTTGTTTTAGAAAATTTAACTTATATTTTAATAAATTAGTATAAAATTTTGCATCTAGTTTGTTCAGGTGATTTCTAACATTTTAGTAAAAAATGTATTAATCATTAATGTATTAATGATCTTTTAAGAGTCTTTGGATCAAGAACATTGTTAATTAGTGAATTGCTTTCAATTATGCGAAAATGAGCAGAAATAAAATGGATTATATACAGACTATGTTGCAAGTTAATATCTGGAAGCCTGATTTTATACCTATCTAATCTATGCAAACAATTTTCATCAAACTGCCAGTTTCTCATCTTTGAAAGAAAAATTTGAAGCTTATTTTTCATTTCTGGCTAGTTCATGTTGTCCATTAACTCTTCCCTCCCAGAAATTTCTTTCAAATAAGAAGAGTTTAACTGATTATTAGAAAATTTCAGTATAGAAACAGATAAAATAGTATTGATTAATCAGAAGCAATCCAAATAGTTTAATGTCTGGTTACTTCAATTTTTTTTGTTTATTCATTTTAGATTTTTATTTCCTAGTGCCACAGTTATTTAAAAGTGGATTAAGATTCAACTAAAAAGTAGAGCTATATAATCTGTATAATAGCAGATGTAATTGACACAAATCCAGAGAATTTACCTTAAAGAATAAACAAATTTAACATGCTATAAAAATAATGTGTCATAAATTAAGTGAACAAAATGTCAAGAAAAGTTTAAGTTTTTAAATATATCTAAGTAATTATAAATGCATTTCTTTCTCTTTTTTTTTAGTAGCATTAGGGGAAAATTGTAAGTAACGTAATTGTAAATGAATAGCTTGAATGTAAAATACATTACTTCCCCGCCTAGATCTTTTTTCTAATTTTGTTTTTATTGACACATTATAATGGTTTATATTTATAGAGTACGTTGTGATGTTTCCATACATATATACATTGTATAAAATCAAATCAGAATATTTAGCATATTCATCATCTCATACAGTTACCATTTGTTTGTGGTAATAACATTCAAAATTCTATCTTGTAGGTATTTTGAACTACACCATACAGTATAGTTAACAATAGGCACCCTGCTGTGCAAATAGAGCACCAGAACTTATTTCTCCTAAGTATAACTGTAAACATTGGCCACTCTCTCCCTATTACTCTTCTACCACCCCCCTTTAAAATTTTGGCCGCATTTTCTTTTGGGCAAGCAGAAACAGCAGTTAAGAGGAGTAAGAAGTTCCAGACTAGTGGTTCTGAATTCTGCACACATATCAAAATAAGTCTGGTGAAGGGGTTAAATTTAAAAGTATTTGATTTCAGGTCCTCACACCCAGATTAATTAACACAAAATATCTGGAGGTAAAGGCTAGGTATTTTGAAAAATAATAAACCTCGGTGATTTCATTTCACAGCTAGAAATAGAACCAGTGCTTTAGACAGGTATTTTTTTTAAATTAGATATAATAAATTATTTGTTTTAGCATAAGATTAAATTTCTATAAAAAGCATATATTCTAGTGTGAGGAATATAATTGCACACTATGTGCCATAGTAGAATATAATTTGGCTACTTCTAGAATACATTTCAAAATACATATTTATTATATATTACAGCAGAATGTGTGAGTTTCTTTGTTTTGTGGCTATGGTCTAATGTGAACTATTTTATCATGCCTTTCTAAGCATGCATTCAGAGTTTATATGTAAAATCTGAAAAAATACCCATAGTATAATTACAATTTTAAAAAGTATGTGAATTATAACCCTATTTTTTAAATGTAAGTTATTTACAGTATTTTTACATGAATTTTATTTGTTAAAGTATTTTGATTAAAAATATAACACATTTTTATTATTTTAGAAAATAAAGGCACAAAAACCTGTAACGATTCATAAATCAAAATCTATAATTGGGGTTATATAATTTTTATTTTTATTTTATTTTATTTCAACAGCTTTTGGGGTACAAGTGATTTTCTGTTACATGGATGAATTATACAGTGGTGAATTCTAAGATTTTGGTGCACCCATCACACAAGTAGTGCACATTGTATCTGATGCGTAGTGTTTTATCCCTAGTTCCCCTCCCACCCTCCCCCTTCTGAGTCTTTAAAATCTATTATATCACTCTGTACGCCTTTGCATATTGACAGCTTAGCTCCCAATTAGGAGTGAGAACATACAGCTTTTGGTTTACAGACCCTGTGTTGCTTCACCTAGAATAATGGCCTCCATTTCCATCCAAGTTGCTGCAAAAGACATTATCCTTTTCCTTTTAATGGCTAAGTAGTAATCAATGGTGTATATATACCACATTGTCTTCATAGTTTCAAACTTCTTTTAGCATTTCTTTTGGTGTTGATTTGGTAATAACAAATTCACTCAGCATTCATTTGTCTGAAAATTACTTTATTTCTCCTTCATTTATAAAACTTAGTTTTGTGGGATACAAAATTATTGACTGACAGTTGTTTTGTTTAAGGAGGTTGAAGACACGTCCCCAATCTGGTTTGTAAGGTTTCTGCTGAGAAGTCTGCTGTTAGTCTGATAAGTATTCTTTTGTAGGTTATCAGAGGCTTTTGTTTTGCTGATCTTAGAAGTCTTTCTTTCATGTTTACTGTACATAGCATGACAGCTATATACCTTGGTGAAGATATTTTTGCAGTGAACTTCTCAGGAGTTCTTCGAGCTACTTGGATTTGCATATCTAGATCTCTAGCCAGGACAAGAAAGTTTTTCTCAATTATTCCCTCAAATAAGTTTTTCAGATTTATTATTTTCTCTTTTGCCTCAGGAACATTAATTGTTCTTAGATTTGGCCATTTTACATAATTCCATATTCTTGAAGACCTTGTGAATTTCTTTTGATTCTTTTTTCTTTAATTTTTGTCTGATTGGGTTGATTCAAAAGACTTGTCTTTGAGCGCTTAAATTTTTTCTTCTATTTGTCCTACTCTATTTTTAAAACTTTCTACTGCATTTTGTAATTCCCTCAGTGTGTCTTTCATTTTCAGAAGTTCTGACTGTATTTTTTAAATTATGATATCACTCTCTCTAGAAATTTTTTCATTCATATGCCAAACTGCTTTTTAAGTATCTTTATGGTGGTTTTTACCTCTCTCTGATATCTTCTTGAGTAGCTTAATACTTGACCTTCTGAATTCATTATGTGGTATTTCAAAGATTTCTTCTTGGTTTGAGTCCATTCCTGGAGAGCTAGTGTGATCTTTTGGGGGTGTTATAGCATCTTATTTTGTCATATTACCAGAATTATTTTTCTGGTTCCTTCTCATTCAGGTAGACTATTTCCCTCTAGTTATTCTTGAGCTTATGTTTGATTTTACTGTGGATTTTTGTTTTGTTTTATTTTTAAATCTTTTTTTCTTCTTAATGACGATACTTTAATGCTTATGGTAAATTATAGCCTAATTCGGTTCTTGGTGCTTTCAGGGGTGAAGATTGTAAAAGTTCTTTGGTTACAGAGAGTCTTTGTATGATGGCTTTCTCATATTCTGGTTGTAGTAGCAATGTGCTTGGTATATGAGCAAGTTTACTATCTCCTATGGGGTTGGAAGGGTAAAGGTCTCTTAAAGCTTATCTCATTACCCCGTGGCATGCACTCCTTATTTATTTATTTTACCTCAGTATTTTATGTACTTTTTTGATGTTTCAGACTTCAGGCCAGTAGAGGACATATCCCTGAGTAGAAATTGGTTGCAACTAAAGCACGTGGCTAAGTGAAATATCAGCCTTGTCAGAGGTGGCTGGAAGAGCTTTCAATGAATTGCACCGAGGTCTTATCAAGGGGAAGGGTTGGAGCCACCTTAGCTTCCCCGCCAGATCAGCAGGAAGGTCCACCTCTCAAACACACTCTTGTCCCAGTCCTATGACTATTCAGATCAGACAGGCACCCCTTTTTATCTATAGGAATGTTCATATTCCAAGTAGAGTGAAATTGTGATTCTCTCTCATGCACGGCTGAACCTGGAGGGTGCTCTTCCTGTGGGGATGCAGTCACACCTTACGTGTTCCAGAAAGGTGGTCTGTAGTTGCACCAACACAGAACACACCTGGGGGAAGCTCCAACTGTGACTACAGTGGTGAGCAAAAGAAGAAAGACTTCCTTTTCCTCAAGACCCTTCATGCACACCAGGGCTGTCTGTATTGGGATAGAGCTGAAGACTTTCCCTTCTGAGTTAAACACTGCAACTGTACCTCTGCTAAAAGAAGCTTTCTACCAGGGGATAGATCTGTTTCTCAAGGCCTGCCATCCAGATTCTTTTGTCCCACAGGGTTTTCCCTTATGATACACTCCCCCTTCACCTAGGACTGGGAGTTCCTAGGAGTCAGACTACTGTGAGTGTTGTCGTTCTTAGGGGTCTAGCTGCCCAGTGAAGTTGCAACACTTCAGGCTGGTACTGGAGAATGTCTGCAAGGATCCGGTGATGTGACCTGTCCTCAAGTTTCCCAACAGTAGATAGCAGCACAAGCTCTAATGGGGGTCACAGGGAAGTGATGTAGACTCTGTGAAATTCCTTGGTTATTGATAGCCTTAGTGTTTTGGCTTTCTTGAACTTCAGTTATAGTACAATGAACTGGTCACATGGACAGACTCAGGACCTCCTGGTTGGCCAAAGTGGCGCAGGCAGTGGTGATAGCTGAGATCACACAAGCATTTTGTTCTTCCTGGGTACAGTGTTATTATGCCAGGAGAAACTGTAATGGACTGTGTTCGTTGGCCTCCAGCCAGGAGGTGGTGCCTAGAAAAGAGCACTAGCTACCGTAAAAACAGTTTGATTTTTGCTTCCTTAATTGCCCAAGGAGGTATTCTGGTTTCTCAGGCAATTGGCAGGGCCATGAAGCTCTCAAAATATTCTGTATTTTGTGTTAAGCTACCAGGGTGGGTGGTGGGGCAAAGCTAGGTAGAGGTTGGGTCAACACCATTTGCACTTTGGATTTTCATGTACAGGGCAAGCAGCAACACTTGTGGGTTTGGGGGGATGAGAGTAAGGCAGGAAAATAGGGTCTGGAGGCAGGAAACATAGGCCGACTCACACTTCACCTATAACAGGTAATACTCTCTCCATAGGGGTATGCCTTAAATTATTTTGTAACTTTACTTCATCCTCTCCATTTACATAGGGCGAACCCAAAGTAACCAATGGAATCCTCTAGGGAGTATTTAAACTCCCCAAAATTCTGTAAGAGGACCTTTGAGCCCCTATGCTCCAGCCTGCTCCCACACTGTGGAGTGCACCTTCATTTTCAACAAAACCCTTCATTCTTTCCTTTCTTTGTGCATTTTGTCCAATTCTTTGTTCAAGACGCCAAGAACCTGAACACCCTCCATGGTTAACAGGAGCGGGTCTCAGGCCAGTGGGTTGATGTTTCAGAGAGGAATATTGATGCCTGTACTGCACAGAAGTTTTTGTACAGTGAATGGGGAGTAGCAGGCTGCAGTAAGCCCCACAGAGTTGCCACATACCTGGTGAGGCAGATCCACACCTGCAGTGCTCCACTGAGAGCAGTGAGCTGAGTTCCAGTCAGCCTTTAATCAGACCTCACCACTGCTAGTAGTCCTAAGTTTTCCGTGGGGAGATAGAAACCGCAGCTTTCAGGCCAGGCTGTCAGCTGAAATGCTGAGCTCCTGCCTCCTGCACTTGGTACTCCTGCACTCACAGCCTGCTTTACTCTCTCTGTCACCTTGGCCCTGGCCAAGGGAATTTATCCCCACCCAAGGTTATATCATGAAACCCTGTTAGGAGTTTCTTTCAACCTGTGACAACTACTTGAAATTTTTTGCTGTTCTCCACAGGGTCCTTTCTGAGAAACAGTAAGGAATGACTGCCCTCAGCCCACACTGGAATCTGGGAGTGCACGCAAGGGTCTTCCCATAACTGCTCCTAATGTTGTATTCCGCAACCTTCCCCAAGTCAGTTCCTGCACTGGGTGGAACTAGGGCCTTCCCCAGTGGCCTGGACTTTCAGGGACCCTGTGGGAGTGTGTATCCTGGAGGCAAACTCTCCCCGTCTCACACCCTGGGGACTGGCAGTCCTTCATCTGACTCACATTGTAGGCTGCAGCCTCCTACTTGCTTCAAAGTGTCCATAAATTTCTTTGGTTTTCCTGTTCAGTTCCTACACTGCTTCTTGTAAAAAAATTTACACCGTGAATTTCTACAAATTATTTTGTCCTTGCAAGTGGGAGAGGTATGCTAGCAACGCCTCTTATCTACCATTGTAAAAATAATGGGATTGTATTTTTGAAAGTAGATTTGTATCCTGTTTTTTGGCTTAATAAATATTTTAGTCTGAATTCTGTCATGTTATTGACTATTATTTAAAAACCGTTTTTTAGAAGCTACATTATATTATAAAGTGTTAATGTGGCATTTTTTTTTAATTTTTCTGTTGTAAATATTATTGTAAAATACTACAATTAGAGGTTGGTGACATGTTCCTGTAATTTCAGCTACTGAGGAAGCTGAGGTGGGAGGATCTCTTACACCAGGAGTTTGTGACCATCCTGGACAACATAGCAAAGCCATCTTAAAACACACAATCAAACAAACAAACAGAAAAAAATGTTACAATTAAAAATACTTGCCCACCTTTGAAATATTCCCAATTAAATATTTCCAAAAGAGTAACTGGTTCAAATATTATTAGATATTATTAGAATATTTCAAATATTCCCAATTAAATATTTCCAAAAGAATAACTGGTTCAAATATTATTAATATGTTTCTCAAATTGCTTGTCTGGTTTTATCAATTTATATTATCAGCAGATGTACCAACAAATATCTTTGATATTTTGAGCTTAATGGCTTCTAAGAAAGCAAAATTAACTTTTGCCCTAAGACTGAAAACTTTGTAGGATAAAAGAAATTTCTTCCAATATACTGAAAATCTCTCATAAATTACTGGCTCCTGTCCTTGTTAACAAGCATGGGCTATGGGAATAAGTTCTAGTAGTAGAAAATAGCAGGGGATCCCTGAAACAAATGTCTCAAAGAGCAGAAATGACTAGAGAGTTGGGTAGAACCTATTTCAAACTGTGTCATAATGAGAAAAAGTAATTATAAACTAATATCATAAACACTGAAACTTTCCCTCCCAGAAGCAAGTTTATCTCCTGTGGTAACAGTTATATGAGTAAATCTAAAGAGCCCATATTTTGTGGCCTCCAAGCAAATTTTGGCATGAAAATCACCTGGATAAGAAAAGTGTTAGTGGAAATGAATTTAGACTATTCCTCATCAATCTTTAGTGACCTCACTGTTGAAGCAAGTGTTTTTAGAATAACATTATTTCCAACACAATCAGAATAATGAGGATTACAGAAATATAATGAGAATAATCAGAAGTCTCACTCAAATATTTTCGACGTTGTGTAGTGATTATAGATTATGAACTCACTGGATACAATTTTATAGATGAGCATACTTTAAAACCTTTAAAAAATATGTTTTCTTCTATGATTTTTTTTTTTTTTTTTGCCAGATGACAGGGAGACGCAGATCTGACTCCAATTTAAATAAAAGCCCTCATATTGCATGGCGTTAGACATGAAAGATAATATTAATTTAGGCCCCCAACTCAATTGAGGCTTGATTTATGGCCATGGATTGTCAGAAGAGATTATTGCAACCTTCATCCAAAGCAGTTCATAGCTGAGATAGGTAAAGTCCCTTTTTTATTTTTTTTGAGACAGGGTTTCACTCTGTCACCCCAGCTGGAGTGCAATGGCACAATCATGGCTCACTGCAGCCTCAGCCTCATGGGGCTCAAGTGATCCTCCCACCTCAGCTTCCCTAACAGCTGGGACTGCAGGTGCATGCCACCATACCCAGATAATTTTTGTAATTTTTATAGAGATGGGGTTTTCCCATGGTGCCCAAGCTGGTCTCAAACTCCTGGGTTCAAGTGATCCTCTCACCTCAGCCTCCCAAAGTGCTAGGATTACAGGTGTGAGCCACCGCACCTGGCCAAGGTCCCTTTTATCTGCATCTGAGAGGCCAATCTTTTTATGATTCTCTATTTCCCTGAGAGAGAGACATTGTGTAGGTCATTGCTCAGTTTCAATTAATGCCCCCATTGCAAGCTAGTAATTGCCTCCCCACTCCCCAACCAAATGGAGATTCTCTAGAGCAAAGTCCAAGGAGCTGCCCCTGGAAGTACATATAATATTTTGTCATAAGCTCCACTCTACATTCGAGTCTACCCCTTCTAGTCCTCCTCTTAGTTTCATCATAGATGGGGTACCCTAAGGCTTCTCCTTGCTTTAGAGGGATTAGAAAGAAGGATGGCCTGATTGTTCCCAGAACACAGGCCCCTGTCCATTTGGTTGGCAGCAGCCAATATGCCCATAGTTCACAGATTCAATAAGGCCAGAGGATGCCTGCCAGGCATTTGGATTTTCAAGCTGGTACCAAGAGTGGTTTAAGGAGGGGAAACGAGAGAATTGGCCCGGGTGGGGTGATTGGGAATCATTCCCTTTTCCCCTCTATAAACTCTTTCCCAGTGTCTCATTATAATACTGTTGTCCCAGACAAGTTAATTATCCTACTGGGTCTGTAAAGGCTTTTCCCCAGCAGGCAATGCAGAACATCCCGACAATAGAGGTTTTTAACAGCCAGATGCTCCGATCTGTGAGCATGGGTTTGGGGGAAGGAGCCACCAGAGTGAAGTTATCATGGGGCATCAAGTCCCTTGCCTCCCATGGCCATTGGTCCCCCATGTTGGTCCCCCCACAGACATAGCATGAGGAGATGCCTAGGCTGCTGGCAATACTTTCAGCCAGTTGAACAAATAGGTTTCTGGACAAAGGGGAGGGCTCAGGCAACTCCTGGTTGATATGCTCATAAAATGACTCAAATACTAGGAATTGTTGGGCTGGACGGGTCTGAGGCTTTTTGCTAATATATAAATAGACTCCTGGGTTTGTTCCCTGACTGCAGATCTGTAATGTCATGGGGTAACCTGTAGTCCATATAGGCAGATTTGGCTCCAGGATGGTAAAATTTAAAGGACTGCAGGTTCTTATCTTATATTATGGTTTCGCTGGCATTTGGGTAAGCCTGACTGTCCCCTGTGTTCATTCGTGACTTTCCACAGGGTCAGTGGACCATGTTGTACAGGCCTAACAGTCTATTTCTGGAGACCTGGGGGAGCAAAGAGGGGTCTTCTCTTGAGAGGTTCCTCTCCTTGGTGTCCATATATACTTGTGACAGTTACTATAGTATCTTTCCCATGACAGGCTGTCACAAGAGACTACAGGATAAGAGTTGCTGATGTATGCAGCTTGGCAGGCATCAAAATACAAGGAAACAGGCCCCTTGTAGGAGGGAGGGATCTTTTTGGTTAGGGTTAGGAAGTTCTCTTCTTTTAGCCTGACATAGACTTTAAACCAAATGGACTCATAAGGTGAGGACTTAGGGTCATAACATATATAAGGCTGGTCGTTTCCCTGGTCACAGACTGAGTAGGTCATCTGATTGTGAATACAGGTACCTTGGTGGGTCCCTGTACATTCATAGTAAGTGTGACATAACAGGGTTCTAGTTACTGTGCTCTCCGACTACGTGGTGTGAGTGCAGTGGGGGCACCTTTCTATGGGCCCATCCCCAGACACAGGTAAAGGGAGTGCCCTAATGGGGAGGAGTAGGAACAAAGTAAAGAGTAGCATCTTTATACCCAGCAGGGACAAAAGGAGTCTTTACCCGGGGGAGGAGGCTGAGCAAAGCGACAGAATAAATAGTAAAACAATTAGTATTATCAGGAAGGCTATTGGACTTAAGATTTCCAACCACATTACTTTACTCCAGCTTCAGCCATGCGTAGACTAGTCAGCTTCTGGGGTGACTAGAGCAGGGCTGTTGCCTCCTCAAGCTTCAGCCATGTATAGACTGGTCAGCTTCCGGACTGACCAGAGCAGGGCTGTTGTTGTCCTCAGTGGCAACTCGCTCCTGTCGCAGGATCAGCCGGCTTGGATGGTCTGGGTTCTGCTGGCTGGTCCACTAGTCCTGGATTTCTGGTTTTAACCAACTGTGATGGATCCAAGGCACAATTCCTGCAACTTTAACAATAGAGGGAGTGGACAAGATTATGGTACGGAGCCCAACCCATATGGGCCCTAGCGTGGTTGGATTCCATTTCATGACCGAAACAGAGTCCCCAGGTTTGAAGGGGTGTACCGGGTCTCTCAGGCTTATGGGCATTCTTTCCCATACCCAGCCATGGACACCCTGCATAGCTATCCCTAAAGCCTGCATTTGCCTTCTCAAAGTCAGTTCCCCTAGTTCTCGGAGGTCACCCTTAATCTGACCTATGATGGGGGGTGGCCAGCCGAACAAGATCTCATAGGGTGAATACCCAGTTTGTTTGGTGGGGGTGCACCTGACCTGGAGGAGGACCATGGGCAGGACCTAATCCCATCTCAGATGGGTTTCTTGGCAAAATTTCTTTAGTAGCTATTTGAGTGTCTGGTTCATGCTCTCCACTTTTCCTGAGCTCTGCGATCGATAGGCAGTGTGTAATTTCCACTTTATTTTTAACAGCCGCATTTGTTCCTGAACTATCTTGGCTACAAATCTCAGTCCATTGTCTGACCCCAAAGTCAGGGGCAATCCAAATCTGAGGATAATGTCTGTTAACAGCACTTTAGTCACCTGTCGTGCTTTCTCTGTTCGGGTGGGGAGAGCCTTGACCCATCCCGAGAAGGTGAAAATGAGCACCAGCAGGTATTGATAGTCCCCCACTTGGGGCAACTCAGTGAAATCCATAAGCAGGTTTTTACAGGGTGCGGCCCGTATTTCCTGAATCCTGGGGGCCTGGTGGGCGTCTGTCGTGGGTTGTTCCGGGCACAAGTTAGGTATTGTTTGCAAATGGCTTGGGTGATGGCAGTGAGCCGTGGCACATAGAAGTGGTGTCCCAGTAGTGTTTCTAGTGCCATTTTCCCCATGTGAGTTCCTTAGTGGAATTGCCTTATGAATTTAGGGGCCAGCATTTCAGGAATGGCTAGTCTCCTATCAGAGAATTTTCACCATCCTCCCTCAATATATTTTCCAGATTCTTGGGCAAACCAGGCCTTCTCACTTGGAGAGTAACTTGGAATCTCCCGAGGGGAGGCTTCAGGAGGAGAGGGATAACCAGGGCTTTCTTTCTAGAGTGTGCAGTAGTCGTTGCTGCCTGTCTTGCTTCCCTGTCTGTCTTTCCGTTTCTCTTGGCCTCTAGTGTTCTTGACCTCTGTTGCCTCTACAGTGCATAATAGCTACCTTCTTCAGGGCCTACACAGCTTCTAAGAGCTGTAGAATTTCCTCTTTGTACTTTATTTCTTTTCCTCCAGCAGTTAAAAGTCCTCTCTCCTTATATATAGCTCCATGTACATGCAATGTGGCAAAGGCATACTTGGAGTCAGTATAAATGTTAACCCTTTTATCTTTCACTAGCAAAAGAGCTCTCGTTAGGGCTATTAGCTCTGCCTTCTGGGTCAACATTTCGGTGGGCAGGGGCTGGGCCTCCACCACTGAGTCCAATGTTACCACCACATACCCTGCCCATTGGACCCCTTCCAATATGAAACTGCTTCGATCTGTGAAGTATTCAACATCTGGGTCTCCAAGGGGGCAATCTGTGAGATCTCCCCAACTTGAGAATACCTCATCTACTGTTTCCACACAGTCATGAAGGGGAGCTCCCGTTTCAATCGGGAACAAGGTGGCTGGGTTAAGGGTGTTTACTGTTTCCAAAGTTATGTGGGGATTCTCGCATAGGAGCCCCTGATACCGAGTCATTCTCAGATTTGATAGCCAATGGTGCCCTCGCTGGTCCATTAGAGTTATAACCGAGTGCGGATAGTCAATTGTTGTCCCAAAGTCAATTTGTCAGCATCTTGCGTTAGTAGGGCAGTGGCAGCTAGAGCCCTAAGACAGGGGGGCCATCCCCAAGCTACAGAGTCCAGCTGTTTGGATAAGTAGGCTACCAGGCAGTGCCAAGATCCTAGGACTTGAGTCAGGACCCCTATAGCCATTCCTTTTCGTTCATGAACATACAGTGAAAAGGCTTAGTTATATCTGGCAGTCCTAAGGCCGGGACCTGAGTTAGAGCCTCCTTGATCTGTTTAAATGCCTTTTCTTGGTCAGTTTCCCAGAGGAGGGGCTCACTTTCCACCTTTTGTGGCTTCATATAAGGGCTTAGCCATAAGTGAGAAGTTTGGGATCCAGATATGACAAATGCTATTATTTGACGCCTATTGGTTGGGGTTGGGAGTGCACAAACAGCCTGTTTTCATTCATTGCCGAGCCAGCGTTCCCCTTGACTCACTATGAAGCCTACATATTTAACCCTTTCCTGGCAAATTGGGCTTTCTTCCTGGATACTTTATAACCAGCTTTACATACGAAGTGGAGGAGGTCTTGGGTTCGTTGGTAACAGTCCTCATGGGTTGGGGCTACTAAAAGGAGATCGTCTACATAGTTGAGCAAGGCACAGTTATTATTTGCGGGGTGTAGACCTTGAGTTCTGGGGCCACCGCTTCCCCAAAAATTGTGGGAGACTTTTTGAATCCTTGTGGGAGCCTAGTCCAGGTGAGCTGCTCCCCTGTACCCGTGACTGAATCATCTCATTGAAATGCAAAGATGGGCTGACTACTTGGTGCTACGCAAGGAAACAAAAAGGCATCTTTTAAGTCCAGGCAAGTAAACCAAGCAGCATTTGCAGGAATGAGTCCCATTAAAGTATACAGGTTTGGTACTACTGGGTGGATGGTCACTGTAGCCTGGTTTACAGCATGCAAGTTCTGCACCAGTCTGTATTCATTAGTCCCTGGTTTCCGCACTGGCAAAAGCAGAGTGTTCCATGGTGACCAGCATTGGGCCAAGACCCTGTGTTCCAATAGCCGCTTCAAATGCCCTTGAATGCCCTGTACGGCTTCTTGGGAAAGTGGGTATTGACAAACCCGAACCGGAATTTCCCCCGGTTTTAGTTCTACTGTCACTGGTGCCTGGTTCCAGCCAGTCCAGGGGGCTTATCTTCAGCCCACTCCAGGAATTTTACTAGGCAACCCATACAGCTCATGTAGCTCTGGCTTTAGCAATCCTTTTGCGCACAGTCTCCATTCCTCTGCCTGTGGGACGGTAAGGGTTAACACCATTGCTTCTGGGTGGGGCAGGCTTAAAGTCATATTCCCCTGCTGCCTGAAAGCAATCTGGGCTTGCAGTTTTCGAGTAAGCCTCTTCCTATCAGGGGAACTGGGCAATTCGGGAGGTATAGGAATTCATGCTGGACCTCTAGTCCCCTTATGACACATCTCTGGGGCCAGAAGAATGACCTTTTCTCTGGGACCCCTGTAGCCCCAACGATAGTCATAATTTTTGGATAGTGGCCCCACAGGCCGTGTCACTGCCGAGTGTTCAGCCCCAGTGGCTACCATAAAGTCCATCAGTTGGCCCCCTACTGCCACCATGACCATGGGCTCCTGGCAGCCTACGGAGATGGAGCCCAGTCTTGCCTAATCTTCATACCCTTCAGTTCCTGCCAGCCTGATAAGGTCAGTGTCTGGCTCCCTCTGAATGCGGCCTCCTTTGGCTAGCAGTCTTCTAGCCCTATGGCCTTCGTCCTTTCCCTCATTGCCCTCTGGACATTCATTCTTCCAGTGTCCCTTCCTCTTGCACCAAACACACTGGTCCCTATCTAGTCTTGCCCGATTCTCAGGTTTTTTCCCGATTTGACCCCTTTCTTGTCTGCGCCCATGTCCACGTCCTCTCGCGATACTCACTCTCCTCTCCGTGAGTGCTGCCGCCAGCAAATCAGCTTTCTTCCTAAGTCTCCGATCAGCTTCCCTTTTTGCCTCCTGGTCGCGGTTAACTTACACTTTTGTGGCTACTTCCAAAAGCTGGCATTCATGCCTGCAAAACCTTCCAGCTTTTGTAGTTTCCGCCTAATGTCTCCCTGGGCTTGTCCTACAGATGCCGTGTTCACCATGCCTTGGTTCTCATTAGCCTCGGGGTCAAATGGTGTGTATAGCCAGAATGTCTCACAGAGTCTCTCATAAAACTGGCTAGCGCTTTCATCTGCTCTCTGAAGCACCTCCAAAATTTTTCCCATATTGAGTGCCTTTTTCCTACCTTCTCTCAAACCTTGCAGGTGTGCCTCTCAGTACCTCTGGCTAGGGCCTTCATCTGCTCTCTGAAGCACCTCCAAAATCTTTCCCATAATGAGTGCCTTTTTCCTGCCTTCTCTCAAACCTTGCAGGAATGCCTCTCGGTACCTCTGGCTAGGGCTTTCATCTGCTCTCTGAAGCACCTCCGAAATCTTTCCCGTATTGAGTGCCTTTGTCCTGCCTTCTCTCAAACCTTGTAGGAGTGCCTCTCAGAACCTCTGCAGTTGCTACAGTTGGGCTGCCTCATTTGGGTCCCAGTGTGGGTCTGCTTCTGGGAACTGGTCCAAAGTGTATGTCTGGACATTAAGGGTGCCTTGTTTTCTAGCCAGTGGAGGGGTGCTTGGGTCAGCCTCCGAAGCTCCTCGGTATTTAACAGTGTCAGGAGGTGTTTCTTGCAATCTGGTCAGGATGGATTACGTGTTTGAGAAATAGGCTGCATCAGATCTATGAGGGCCTGGGGCTTCTCTGTGTAGGAGGGAATATGGTGCTTCCAGTTAAGGCGGTCAGTGGTTGAGAAAGCCTGGTAGAGGAAGGTCCATTGCCCTCCTTGTACCTGGCCCTGTTCATCATAATAGATGGATCCTCAAGTTTCCCAGAAGGGCATTTGTAAGGCTTGGGAGCGGCCAGACTGGAGGAGGCCTGCTTGGTCATTTTGACTTCCCTCCCTGCATTTCTGAGGCAGTAGTTCGGACGCATCCCTTTGGGGTGAAGCCTCTGACTTACCACCATCTGAGCTTAACTCCTCAGGGGCCAGCCTCGGTAAAGGGGGGTAGATTGGAGTGTAAGGAGGAAGAATCTCTGTCTCCTCTGGTAGTTCCTATAAAACTAGTTTCTCCTGACTCTCCTGTGGCTTTTTATGTCTCTCCAAAGCTCCCAGTAAAGTTGATCCTTCTTTCAACATAGGCTCGGCTTGGGCTACGAGCGTTTTGCAATACACTGCCAGGCAGGGCTGCAGTCACACAGGTCGAGTTTGAATTATATTTAGCCATGAGTCAATATATGGAAATCGGTCTGGATGCCCTGGCTGTCCTCTGACCACAGTCACCACCTTAAATACACGGCCAATTCTTTCCCTATCTATAGTTCCTTCGGCCGTCCATTCGACACTAAAAGAGGGCCATTCTACTTCACAGAGAATTCTCAACCTCTGGGGGTTAACTTGATCCCATAGTCCCCTCATAACCTTTCTTAAAAGTTCTCTAACATACATTCTAACAGGGTGGGTTTCGACGACTTCCCTCCCATTTCCTCCCAGTTACGGTGCAATTCACTCCCTCTCACTTTCGCTTCATACCGATTAGACCGTCCCTCTCGCGGGAGTATTTCAGACGCTGCTTAGCATTGGAGGCTCCGTTTTAACCCCCACAATTACTAGATTGTGGGCCACCTCCCTAAGCCATATGTGGATCACCACTAGTCCCGGTCGGTCCCACAATTCACTCGGAGTGTACAGTCTATGCTAAGAGACCTGCGGCCTCACACATGTCACTCCCCACATTGGTTCCTTTTGGAACCACCTCTTTCACACGCATTCACATACTTCCCCACTCCCAGTTTCTCTTCGCTAGTTGGGGTGTAGGTTTCATCTGACTCTGTGGGCCACTCTTGTGTCCTGGGTCAAACTACTCAGTACACCCCGGGTGCAAGTTTCATCCGACTTTGCGAGTCACTCTCGCGCCCTAGGTCAGAATACTTAACGCACCCCCGGGAGGTGATCAGGCTCCCTTTCTGTCCTTATGGGACGAGTCCTGTCCTGGGCCCCAAACCTTACCGTGGTCCCGTAGCACACTGTCCCTGGAATCATCCTGAAGCCCCTTACATTCCGTTGTGCAGACTGGGAGGGGCACCAGGTCACAGGAGAACCAATCCCTTCTCCAGGTTAACTTCCCACGATGGCACCTGAGGTCATAGGTCTCCCCCCGGCTTGGGGCCCCAGACCCACAGGCAAAGGAGACAGCAAACCTGTTGTCTCCAACTCCTGGCTGGCTCACCAAAATGTCGCGGGAATCAGGAGACGGGAAAGACCAATAGGGTGGAACAGGAGGATTTTATTTAGGTGCAGCGGTTCAGCAGGATTGCACCCAAAAGGCCGAGCCCCAGACAAATACAGGGCTTGACTTTTATACATGCATCTGTGGTGTGAAATGCAGCGGCGTGAAAGCGGGTAGAACAAAGACAGTTTAACAAAAAGTGACAGGCTCATAACTCAGGCTTTCATGTGACTCTTGCTATGCGGGCCATGTGGCTGTTATCTAGGCTTGCTCAAGATGCTTGCACAATCTTATTTCATGTCTTTCTCAATGGAGCCCAGATGGCTGAAATCTAAGCTTGCTCAAGCATTTCTCATGACCTCCGTGGTGCTACAGACACTAGTTACAGAAAACAGGAATGTATAAACTCATAAAAACTTGCAGAGCAGGGTACAAGGGCATGGAGCAGGGAGGGATTAAAGAGGTAAGCTGCTCATACCAAAGAAAAGGAAGAAAATTTGTTTTTTCCCTTTTTAACTTCTGCTTCAGTACTAACAAGAGCAAAGACATGGAATCAACCTAAATGCCCAACAGTGGTAGACTGGATAAAGAAAATGTGGTATATGTACACTATGGAATACTACATAGCCATAAAAAGACTGAGATCATGTCCTTTGCAACAACATGGATGGAGCTGAGGCCACTATCCTAAGTGAACTAATGCAAGATTGAAAACCAAATACTGCATGTTCTTATTTATAACTGGGAGCTAAACTTTGAATATACAGGGACAAAAAGAAGGAAACTATAGAAATCAGGGACTACTTGAGGGTGGAGGGTGGGCTGGCGGGTGAGGATTGAAAAACTACCTATCAGGTACTATGTATATTGCCTGGGTGACGAAATAATATGTTCATCAGAACTCCACAATGTACAATTTCTTTTATGAAAAACCTGCACATGTATTTCTGAACCTAAAAGAATAGTGAAAAGAGTAAAATACATTTTAAAAGAAGTTTGAAAATAAATGTCTTAAATTACTACCTAAAAATGCAGAGAAAAAGAAAGCACAAGTGAAAATGTTTATCTTAGACATCAGATATTACATTATGATAAAATGAGCCATTTTTGTTAAATCATAAGTTGACAATTATAAGTCAGGTAGGGCTGCCATTTCTGGTTGTACATAGAGTTCACTACATAAGTTATTGGCTGCAAACATATATGGGTATTGAGATCCAGCTCATGCTGGAGTACAGAGTGCTTTGTCCTATGTTATTATGAATCTTAGTCAATCCATAAAGATATGTGACTGCAACGCTATGTAAACTAGTGGGGACATATTTTTTCTAACACCCTCACATGTCTGGTGTACCCCAAACATCATAGAAAATAAATGTAAAACACAACTACAACCTTAATTTAGATATATTTATGTTTTTCTCTATCCATGCAATATTTGGTGAAAATATCAATCATATGCTTGGCAATAAATAATGTATGTATATTTGAAAATATACATATATGTATATTTGAAAGTAATATATATATAATATATAACTGAAAATTATAAAATCCTTACAATATATGATAATAATTCAACACAATCAGAAAACAATAATAAAATAGCAATAATGAAAAGTGTAAACAAAAAGCATTAACTGTGTGGATATCTGAAACATCCTTATAAAATTTCAATAAAAGAGAATATCAAAAGTGAAATATAAACATATATGTAGCATGAATTGATAAAAACACCTTATATCCAAAGTTATGAAATATAATTCTCAAAGAAAAAATTAAAACTTTATTTTAATTACAAGAAGAAACCAAAAAAATAAGAGTTTGCTACTCTCGAGAAATTAGAAAAAAATGACAAAATTAACCAAAAGAAAGAAAAAGGAATTAGTTAACATAATAGATAACATTAAGTTAATTAAACAGTAAATAAATAAAGAAATATAATGAATTGGATGTGTATGTGGAAATAATTTTCTCTTTTTTATCGTTTAGTAAAATGGATAAATTATTTATGAGGAAAAAAGAGCTAAAATAGCTGATTATATAAATGAGAAAAGGCAAGAATCATAACTAGTAATTTAACATTTTTAAGAATTTGATATATGCACATCTATGAAAATAAATTTGGACACCTTTAACAAAAGAATGATTTCCTAGAAAAATATCAATAAAGTTAACTTTAAAAATACTTAAATTCAGCAATTGCCACAGCACAGATTAGAAAGTTGATTTATAATTTTCTATTGAAAAGGGAACCACTAAAAGATGTATCTTTTCTATCTAATCTAGAACTGATACTAAAAGATGTATCAGTTCCATCTAATCTTTAAAAGGATAGGTTATTGAAATGTTTATTATATTATGAGATGGTAGAAAATGACGAGTAATTCTCTACTATAGTGTATGTGGTCACAATAAGTTTAATACTAAAAATTTAATATAGTACAGAAATAAAACTATAGGCCAATTTCACTTATCAATATAGATGTAAACTTTTTAAACTACTTAGTAGATGTAATCCAGCAATATAATGCTGAGTCTCAGAAACTGATAGCCCCAAAGTAATATGATGCTTTGACATGCTGAAGCAGAAGTTTCAAGGTCTCTCTGACCTTCCACACCTCTACACACCACCCATCTTCCATCACTCCCAAAGCACAGGATAAAGTTAGTCTCCAAAGTTCTATTTTCTGCCTATAGTTCATATTTCCAAAGAAGAAAACAATTACCTCTGGTCCGTTCCCTGAGTTTCATTAACTGAACTCATATCACAGGAAGAAAAACTGAAGGCTGTCAAAACACCTGCTCAGACTTTCGTCATAAACCATTGTTTGTTGTATGGGCCCAACAGAGCTTCTGCCATTGGATTTTCCTGAAAAACAAAAATTGCTGCCCTCTGAAAATCATCCATACTTCCCCATCTTCCTTTTCCCTAAGAAGAATGGATATAAGCATCTGTATGCCATTGGGTGATAGGGTAATCAATCCGTGATTCCCCTCGTCTGCCATGTACACTAATACACTTTAAGTCTTCTCTCCTATTAGTCTACCTTTTCTCAGTTGATTCTCAGTGAACTTTTAGAGGGTGAAGGGGAATTTTCCATTTGACCCTACAAGTAGAATGTATTTGAGGAATATAAGGGTGATTCAATATTAGATGGTAGCTATTAATCAGCAAAACACATTTTAAAATTTCAGAATAGACTTTGTCTCAAGAATTTGGCTCTGAAAATCAAGAGTACTGACCTTCAGACTATTTTCTCTGTCATTGACTTTAGAATCTCTATCTTAAAATCATTGCTGAGCAATGACTTTTTATTCTTGGCTCTACCTGCACTCTCCCTAAGGGTAATGAATGTTGCTCATTTTATATGTGAAAAAAAGAAAAAAAAATACGAAAGAAGAGTATCATCTTAAAATGTCCAGATTCTTTTTGTTTGTTTGTTTGTTTTTGAGACAGGGTCTCACTCTGTTGCCCAGGCTGGAGTGCAGGGGCATGATCTCAGCTCACTGCAACCTTCACCAGGTTCAAGTGATTCTCCTGCCTCAGCCTCCTGAGCAGCTGGGAGTACAGGTGCACACCACCACACTTGCCTAATTTTTGTATTTTTACAAAATACAAAGAGATTGGGTTTCACCATGTTGCCCAGGCTGGACTCGAACTCCTGACCTCAAATGATCCACCCGCCTCAGCCTCCCAAAGTGCTGGGATTACAAGCATGAGCCACCATGCCTGGTCGCAAAACCTGCAGATTCTATCCTGCTACACAGCCTTATTTTTGGAGAAACTATTAGAAGTTATTTAGTACATCCAACTCTCAATTATCTATTCACATGGTAGAGACTGATAACTTGGTCAATAAGAATTTATATAACTCTGGATAAAATTTTCACTGGGAATTTTTTTTTTTTTTAGTTGGAATTTCACTCTGTTGCTCAGGCTGGAGTGCAATGGCATAGTCTCAGCTCATTGCAACCTCTGCCTCCCAGGCTCAAGGAATTCTCCTGCCTCTGTCCCCCGAGTAGCTGGGATTACAAGTGCCTGCCACCACTCCTGGCTAATTTTTGTATTTTTAGTAGAGATGGGGTTTCACCATGTTGGACAGGCTCATCTCGAACCCCTGACCTCATGATCTGCCTGCCTTGGCCTCCCAAAGTGCTGGGATTATAGGCATGAGCCAACGTGCCCAGCCTTACAGAGAAATTTTAACTGAAATTTGATCTAATAAAAGTTTAACATCACGTTAAATTTTTGATATGTGATGCATAAATTTAAATGAAATCAATGGCCTCTGGCAAACACAAATCTTTCTTTCACTACAGGTTTGTTTTATATCTTCTAGCACTCCATATTGGCCCGGGCGCGGTGGCTCATGACTGTAATCCCAGCACTTTGGGTGGCTGATGCGGGTGGATCACAAGGTCAGGAGATCAAGACCATACTGGCTAACACAGTGAAACCCCGTCTCTACTAAACATACAAAAAAATTAGCCAGGCATGGTGGCATGTGCCTGTAGTCCCAGCTACTTGGGAGGCTGAGGCAGTAGAATCGCTTGAACCTGGGAGGGGGAGGTTGCAGTGAGAGGAGATTGTGTCACTGGACTCCAGCCTGGGTGACAGAGCGAGACTCCATCTCAAAAAAACGAAAAAAAAAAAAAAGGAACTCCATATTAATGAAATAAAACACCATAGATATTCTTTTGTCTGGTTCTAATGTTCAACATAATAATTTGAAAGCTTATCTAGGTTGTTTGTATGTATCAATATTTTGTTATATTGTTGAAAATTACTTTATTGTGTGACTATACCCATATTCACTGATGTATTCACCTATTCGTGTATATTGCAGTTGTTTACATTTTTAGCTACTATGAAATATTTGTTATGAGTAGTTATTTTAGTCTTTTGATGATATATATTTTCATTTATTTTAATTAAAAGTGGAATTACTGGGCAATATAGTAGGTGTGTACTTAACTTTATACAAAGCTGATACACAATTCTGCAAATAAGTTGTAGCATTGTGCATTTCTAGAAGTAATATGTGAAATTAGTAGCTCCACCTTCTTGTTATCACTTCAGATTATAAATCTTATTAAATTTAGCCTTTTTAGTTTGTGTGTAGCAGTATAAAATTATGGCTGTTAGTTGCATTTTTGTGATGAACAATCAAGCTAAACAACTTTCATGTCTTTCAAAAATTTTCTCCATTTTTTTATTGCCTAGGCTTCTTTGAAAGTTATAATGTTTTGTTTTACATTTTAGATACCAGGATTCTTTATCTAATATACAATTTTGAAATATTTTCTTTGGTTCAAGTTTTATTTTTTCCATGCAGAAAGTCAATTTATTCTTCATCATTTGGTAAAAATTTTAGGCTTTTCTCATTTAATGTGTGTGGATGTTTTGTCAAAAATTAGGCGACCACATTTTCTGCATTCAGATATGATATCAAACTATAAGCTAATAATAAAACTTAAGCCCCTCAACCATATCAATGGACCCCTCTTCTTGGTCAATTGCATTCCAAAGTCAACCTGAAAAACCAGTTCAGGCCATGATGAGTAGAGAGAGTCAGACATGCCTCAGTGGGCCCTCCTCCCTTTTGGAATTCAGTACATCTGACCAGCATTAACATCAACACAGAGACTGATAGAACAGACTCTTTAAGTCTGGTAACAAACATTTAATGTTTATTTTTACTGATGTCTACTATCAGGAGGCTTCATCTGCGTGATAAAACCTTGGTCCCCATAATGGCTTATCATAACCCAGACACTCTTTTCTATTGATTCCAGGTCTTTAGATAATATCTCCTTCAACCAATTGCCAATCAGAAAATATTTGAATCCACCTATGACCTGAAAGCCCCTGCTTCCAGTTGTCCCACCTTTCCAGACCAAACCAATGTATGTCTTACATGCATTGATTGATGTCTTATGTCTCTCCAACACGTATAAAACCAAGCTGTAGCCTGGCCACCTTGGGCACATGTTCTTACAGTCTCCTGAAGACTGTGGCATAAGCCATTGGTCACTCACATTTGGCTCAAAATAAATATCTTCAAATATTTTATAGAGTTTGACTCTTTTTGTCAACAAAACCCTAGAAATAATTTTAAAAAGCAACCACCTGAGTTATTGAGAGTGAAAAGAGGCAGAAAGACTCATATAGGGGATGTACCATGGATGAGGGCAGATAGAGAACTCAGTTCATGCCTCCAGGGCCTAGGGCTAATTACAGTCTGTAGTATTCCACTGTGAAGGGAAGATGTGAATCTGAGGAAGCCTAAGAGAATGGAGGAATTTTGGTAGAAAAAGAGCCACAAAGGGGATCCCTAAACATGGTTTACTCACATCTCTATTAAGGCAATTGAAACATTAACGGGCAGACCAGACTCTAATAAACCTAAATAAAGACATAAAAACGGAAATTTGAAGGGAGTTGGAAGTACTGGATAAGAATCCATATGTGAAACTAATGAAGCAAATAAAAAAAGAGCCAACCTACTAAAACAAGAAATAGAATATTCGTTAGAGAAAGATAATTAAAAAATAAAAATAATAATGACAATAAATAAATCCAGAAACTAGACAACTTAACATCTGTAATATCATATTACCCAATATATGAAGAACCAAGAAAACAGCACACTGTCTTAAAGAAAATAAAATCACAGCTTGGGCAACATAGTGAGATCCTGTCTCCACAAAATAAAATAATAAGTTAGCTAGGCACGGTGGCACACACATGTATTCCCAGCTGCTCAGGAGGCTGAGGTAGGAGGATTGCTTGAGCCCAGGAGGTCAAGGCTACAGTGGCTGCAGTAAGCTATGGTTGAGCCACTATTCTCCAGCCTACTTGATAGAGCGAGACCGTGTCTCAAAACAAAACAAACAGAAAAAAATCACAGTGAATTCTGACCTTAAGATGAACAACGTATTAAAAGTAACAGACAAGTATTTAAAAATGTCTATTAAGACTATCCTTAGTGAAGCAAAACAAAATATTTTTTGACATATAAAAACCTTAGCAAAAAACTAGTCTTAGCAGAGCAATCACCTGAAATAAAAAAGTAGTTATAAGTTAGCATACTAATAGAGAAAAGAGAATTCCATAAATTGCTCAATTAAAACAAGAGAAGCCAGAAAATAAATGAAAAATTAAATAAATACATAAATGGACAATAAATAGAAAACATATAGATAATTCAACTATACCAATAATTACTTTAAATGTTAAAGGTCTAAATGCACCAATTAAAGAACAGAAAATGTCAGATTTAATAAAGAAAAAATGACCAGCATATATATTGCCTACAAGAAATCCACTTGAAATATGAAAACAGATAAATTGAAAGTTAAAAAATTGAGAAAGATATACAATGCTGAAATACTCACAGGAAATATGGAGTAGTTATAATAACAAAGCAGGCTTCAGTGCATGGAAAATTATCAGCGATAATGTGGGGCATTACATAAACAGATCAATCTTCCAAGAAGACATGATAATCCTCAATGTGTATGCACCTAAGAAAAATGTGTCAAAACACATAAGATCAAACTGGTAGAACTGCAAGGTGAAATAGAAAAAATCATTATTGTATGTGGAGACACAAACACAAAATCAGTGGAACACAGAAATAGACACTTCTTTGATCAGAACAACACTATAGTTACTTGGATTTAGTTGATATTTAAATAGCATACATCTGGTAAGTATGGTATATATTATTTCTAAGTACACGTGTTTTATTTTATTAGTATAGATCATATACTGGCAATGAAACAAGGATCAATAAATGTAAAAAGATTAAAATCTGAAAGAGTCTATTATTTTGCCAAAATGAAATAAATTAGAAATGAATTATAATATAAAAAGAAAAACTGCAATTATTTGAAAATTAAAGAACACAATTTTAAATAATCTCTGGGTGAAAGAATAAATCAAACAAATAAATTAGGAAGTATTTTGAAATGACAAAATCATAATAAAATGTATTTAAAATTTGTGGAATGCAACTAAAACAGCACTTGTTAGGAATTTTCTAGCTTTAAATGCCTATATAAGAAAAGAATAATAATAAAAGTATTAAAAACCAGTGATCTAAAATTCCACCTTGAAAAATTAGAAAAGAATCACAAATTAAACAAACAAAAAAGAATATTAAAAAGGGGCATAGATCAATGAACTAGAAAACAAGCAAAAGCAATACAGAAAACCAATGAAACCAAAAGATGGTTCCTTTAAAAATGAATTAAATTTATATCTCCTCAATATCAGAAAATATTGATTTTTCTGTTATTTTCTCTCTAGGTGAAACTTTATGTCCTATTTTCCTTTCACTTCACTATAATCCCTTGGGTAAGTGAGTAAGGGTGTAAGAAAAATACTGGCTTTAAAAAACTTAAAATATAAAATATTTCAGAAATATTATGCTCGTTGAACTAGTATTTGCTTGTGTAAGTACAGAAAATGATACATACCAAAAAGTTAATTTTAGTAATCTTGGCAGGAGAGCATTGGAAGTTAGAGAAGCTATTGGCACCGCTAGTATATGACCTTTATACATCTCTTTATGTTTTCAATGGCTACAACAAGCATACAGTACTTTCATAGTTTAAAAGTATAAAATTAAATACATATATGCATATATTCTAATTTTATAGTTTAATGCGTTAACATTAAACATAATAATTAGACTTTAAGGAAGCTTAAGCTATGAAGATTAAAATGTTAAAGATTAATGATCACATGAAAAAATATCTGAGTGAAAACTATTATGTGAAAGTCATCAAAACAAATAGACAATAAATTATTATGCTATTTTCTTAAAATACTTTTTATCTGTGACTCTCAGATTTAAAAAAAGCAGGAAATAGTCATTTGAATTTTAACTTAGTTAACCTAAAATTTCTCTTGGGATAAATTGTAAATGAACTGTGGCTGTTTTAACTGTAAATAAAACAAAAGACATTTATAAATCTAAGTTTTTTTCTAATTAAATGACAATAGAAGATACAGTAAAAAGATAAATTATAAAATACTATATTAGTTGGACAAACCAGGTTTTGTTAAAATAGATGTAAATATTTATCAAATATCATAAGCTAAAAAAGGAATGATAATATTAAAACTGGAGAAAACTAGTATATATAAAATGTTGATTAATATTTTTAAGAAAAAAAGTTGCCTAATTTCTCTGACTTTTCCTTTTTTAGACTCCAACTTGTGTCAGCTAGAATACATAGCTGACCCTCATCCAGTTGAAATTGTTTGCTAAGCATGAGAGCATATTGCATCTTTGAAGGTTGAATTTTTGTTTCTGCAAGGAAACACAACTTTTAGTTTGACATTCTTATTCTAAAAACACAATTTATTCAATAACAATATCAAGGTTGGTAATTTAACCACCATGCTTTTCTTTACTACATAGTTTTTTTTTGCTTTACAAACATTGAAGTATTTTACAAACATTAAGTATGTTAAAAACAAACACCCAGTATATAACCTACTTTTTATATTGTCTTTTGGAGAATTTGTATGCATGGCTGGAAAGGTTGCAATTCTTCATGTATATATTTAGTGAAGTTTGGTATGCATTTGTATTTTTACCCAATAGCAAATATAGGGATATTTCATAGTTCCAAGGATCTTCAAATGGCATTCAAGTTTAGAACTATATAATTTAAAAATATTATTATTTAGTGTGCAGGAATGACTGAATACTATATAATGTTAATGCTGTGGAAAGTTAAATATTTATGGAACCATTGATATCTATATTTTCCTCACTTACCAATTTATTCAGCATGGTCTCGGGGAAGTTTCAGTTAGGCAACAGGGTTCTAGTTTTAGGGCATTGAGGTTAAGTTTTCTTAATGAAAAGAAACGTAATAAAAGTGGAAGCATACACAAAGAACTATCTAAGTTAGGAAACATCTGTACTATTTTGTGTTTCTGCTATATTTTATGTATAATTGCTTAAAATTCACCTATGAGAAAGGTATATGTTAGAACAATAAAGTGCATCTCAGGTAACCATTTCAAACTTACAAAATGTGAAGACATTTTTCAAGAAGGAAAGTGTTTAAAGTCTTGTCAATCCAGTTCTTACAAAACTAGGAAAATTATAGGAAGCATCTTATTTTTTTTTTATTTTTTTATTTTTTTTTGAGACAGAGTCTCACTTTGTTGCCCAGGCTGGAGGGCAGTGGCGAGATCTCGGCTCACTGCAACTTCCTCCCCCTGTGTTTAAGTGATTCTCCTGCCTCAGCCTCCCCAGTGGCGAGATCTCGGCTCACTGCAACTTCCTCCCCCTGTGTTTAAGTGATTCTCCTGCCTCAGCCTCCCCAAGTAGCTGGGACTACGGGAGCACACCACCATGCCTGGCTAATTTTTGTATTTTTGGTAGACACGGGGTTTTCCATGTTGCCTAGGCTGGTCTCAAAATCCTGACCTCAGGTGATCTGCCCACCTCGGCCTCCCAAAGTGCTGGGATTACAGGCATTAGCCACCATGCCCAGCCAAGCTTCTTCTATAAAACTTTTCTTGGCAGTATTATTTTTGCCTTATCAATATAAGGAACCCTGCCATTTAAATAAACATAAAAGTAAATGAAGTCAAGAAAAATATAAATGTATTAATGGCCTTATTATTTTTAGTTCAAATAACTTTAAGTGCTTTCTTACACTAACATACACATTTATACACATACACTGTATTAGTCCATTCTCACATTACTATAAAGTAATACCTGAGACTGGGTAATTTATTTTAAGAGAAGTGGTTTAATTGGCTCATGATTCTGCAGGCTGTACAGGAAGTGTAGTGGTTTCTGCTTCTAGGGAGGCCTCAGGAAGCCTCCAATTATGGCAGAAGGCAAAGGGGCAGCAAGGCATCCCATGGCCACAGCAACAAGAGAGAGAGCGGGAAGTGGAGAGGTACTACACACTTTTAAACAACCAGATCTCGTGAGAACTCACTATCATAAGAACAGCACCAAGGGGGTGGTGCTAAACCTTTCATGAGGAACAGCTCTATGATCCAATCACTTCCCACCAAGCCCTACCTCCAACATTGAGGATTACAATTCAACCTGAGATTTGGGAGGGGACACAGATCCAAACCATATCATATACACTGGTATAGTTTACATACACACATTAACCCTACTCTGCAAATGACTTGAAAATAATGGCATCAGTGAATCTTTACATCTATACACTCTATTTCTATATACATTATAGGGAAGTATTCTCCCCTACAAAACAGTGATCAGTTTACTGATAAATGACTCCTATAACTATTAAAGTGATTATTAATTAAAATTTTAAAAGCACTTCATATTTTCCAAATAATTCTCTAGGATTTCCCTTTCATATTCTTCTAAACCATGTTGGAAGTAGTCTTTCATTCATGTTTAACCTCTCTAGGAACAATTTAAAAAACCTCCAAAAACTAATATTTTAAGGTTATCTCAAATCACATATGCATAGAAACAGTCTTATCTCTTTGTGTAATTTTTTCTTCTATTAGGAAATGTCATTTTTTTAAAAGTGAAATTACATTCTGGATATTTTATATTACATATAGTTTAATAAGGGTCTGGTGATGTTATATATCAAATTCATCAAAAAAGAAATCTAAAAGCTTAACTTCTTAATATATTTTCCTCTCAATGTTTCATTTTTCTTTTTTTATAATCTCTCTTTTTACACATCAGATCTCACCCTTTTTCACCTTTTTCACATGGCTTTTTACGTCTTTATGTGAATAGAGTTACTGGATTATGCAAATTTTGAGTATATGCCAACTAAGATTAAATATGTGATTGAAACTCTCTTTGAATAGACTAAGTTTTCACCAACAAAATATATCATAACTATTTTATCCACTGAGATCAAATAGTGTATCCTTAAAATATATAGACATTTATTATTGTCTATTTACTCAGCTTTATTATAAGTATATTTTGAATGAAAACTATTTTCCATGGTGAAAGAAATTTTATCTGCCTTGACCTCTATCAAATTCTCAGAACAGAGAACACTCATGTAATCTGTTGACATGAAAGGACAAAAGAGTAGAGAAAATAGATTCAAAAGTTCAATGAGTAGCAAAAAATATGCTTACCACTCTAAAGCAGCCCATTCTTATACTGCTATGAAGAAACATCTGAGACTGGGTAATTTATAAAGAAAAGAAGTTTAATTGACTCACAGTTTTGCTGGCTGGGAAGGCCTCAGGAATCTTACAATCATGGTGGAAGACACATCTTCACAGGGTGGCAGGAGAGAGAATGAGTGCTGAGTGAAGGGGGAAGCCCCTTAAAAAATCATAAGATCTCATGAGAACTCACTCACCATCATGAAAACAGCATGGGGGTAACTACCCCCATGATTGAATTATCTCCACATGGTCCCGCCCTTGACATATGAGGATTATGACACTTCAAGGTGAGATTTGGGTGCGGAAACAGAGCCAAACCATATCACTCTGCCCCTAGCCCCTCCAAAATATCATGTCCTCACATTTGAAAACACAATCATGCCCTTCCAATAGTCCCCCCAAATCTTAATCCATTCCAGCATTAACCCAAAAGTCCAAGTCCAAAGTCTCATCTGAGACAAGGCAAGTCCCTACTGCCTATGAGCCTGTAAAATCAAAAGCAAATTAGTAACTTCCTAGATACAATGGGGGTACAGCAGTGGGATAAACACACCCATTCCAAATGGGAGAAATTGGCCTAAGCAAAGGGGTACAGGCCCCCATGGAAGTCTGAAATCCAACAAGGCAGTCAATAAAGTTCCAAAATGATCTCCTTTGACTCCATGTCTCACATCCAGTTCATGCTGATGCAAGGTGTGGGCTCTCATGACCTTGGGCAGCTCCTCCCCTGTGACTTTGCTTGGTACAGTCCCACTCGTGGCTGCTTTCACAGGCTAGCATTGAGTGTCTGCAGCTTTTCCAGGTTCATGGTGTAAACTGTTGGTGGATCTACCATTCTGGGGTCTGGAGGATGGTGGCCATCTTCTCACAGGTCCATTATGCAGTACCCCAGGGGGACTTTGTGTGGGGGCTCCAACCCCACATTTCCCTTTGCAGTGCCCTAGCAGAGGTTACCCATGAGGGCTCTGCCCCCACAGAAAACTTCTGCCTGGACATCCAGGCATTTACACACATCCTCTGAAATTTAAGCAGAGGTTCCCAAACCTCAGTTCTTGACATCTTTGCACATGCAGGCTCAACACCAAAGGAAGCTGCCAAGGCTTGAGGCTTGCATCCCCTGACGCAATGGCCTGAGTTGTACCTTGGCACCTTTTAGCCATGCTGCAGCAGATGAGACACAGCACCAAATCCTGAGGCTTCACACTGCAGGGGGAATCTGGACCTGGTCCAGGAAATCACTTTTCCCTCCTAGGCCTCCAGGCCTGTGATGAGAGGGGCTTCCCTGAAGGTCTCTGGCATGTCCTGGAGACATTTTCCCTATTGTCTTGGCAATTAGCATTTGGCTCCTCATTACTTATGCAAATTTATGCAGCTGCCTTAAATTTCTCCCTAGTAAATAGTTTATTCTTTTCTATCACATTGTCAAACTGCAAATTTTCCAAACTTTTATGCTCTGCTTCCTCTTGAATGTTTTGCCACTTAGAAATTTATTCTGCCAGATACCCTAAATCATCTCTCTCAAGTTCAAAGTTCTACAGATATCTAGGGTAGGGGCAAGATGCCACCAGTCTCTTTGCATAGCAGGAATGACCTTTGCTCCAGTCCCCAACAAGTTCCTCATCTCCATCTGAGACCACCTCAGCATGGACTTCATTGTCCATATCACTATCAGCATTTTGGTCAAAGCCATTCAACAAGTCTCTAGGAAGTTTCAACCTTTCCCACATCGTCCTGTCTTCTGAGCCCTCCAAGTCTCTAGGAAGTTCCAAACTTTCCCATGTTTTCCTGTCTTCTTCTGAGCCCTCCAAACTGTTTCAACCTCTGCCTGTTACCCAGTTCTGAAGTTGCTTCGACATTTTCAGTTATCCTTATAGCAGCAACCCACTCCCTTGGTACCAATTTACTGTATTAGTCTATTCTCATGCTGCTATGAACACCCAAGACTGAGTAATTTATAAAGAAAGGAGTTTTAATTTACTCACAATTCCACATGTCTGGGGAAGCCTCAAGAAACTTACAATCATGGCAGAAGGTACCTCTTCACAGGGTGGCAGGAGATAGAATGAGTGCTGAGCAAAGTGGGGAGCCCTTTATAAAACCATTAGATCTCATGAGAACTCACTCACTATCATGGGAGCAGCATAGGAAACCACCCCCATGATTCAATTATCTCCACTTGGTCCTGACCTTGACACATGGGGATTATTACAATTCAAGGTGAGATTTGGGTGGGGACACAGAGCCAAACCATATTACACCCCTTTAATGCCTTCCAGTCTTCAGTAAGATGAAGACTCTTAGAGAAATACAAAGCAAACAAAACGAAACAGTCATTATTTTTGAAGGTTCTATGGCATAAAGTGTCCTTAGGAAATATTCCGTTTTCTGTTAGAGTAAGAAGAAGGAATATAACAAAGGAGGTTAGGAATATAGGAGATTTTAAGGATGATAAAATGTTAGTATCAAAAAGCAGAAAGATGAGGCTTCCAGAGTTAGGGAAAGGTATCAGAAAGAAACACAGTAAGAGCCATGCATAATCTTATTGGATAAAGGTATGAGAGGTGTCCAGAGACTGGAAAACTAGGGCCTCTTACAGTGACCAGTATTAACAGAAATAAAAGTCATTATAAAGAGTCAGTTATGATGGGATTCCAGGAAGTCAATGGTGGAGAATCTGTGGATTTTGCAAATATGAAATGGTTTATTTCTTTATTTTCCTCTTTATTCATGATGACTTGGGTTAGAAGGCCAAGAGGAGACATTAATAAGGAAGGAATATTAAAATTTATTCAGGAAATATTTCTAACTCTCTTATCCCTTGATCTTATTATTTTCTATTAGAAGCCAAATGATTCAATTACTGTTTACATATTCACTATTAACTGGTTAGCTCTTTTCAGTTTGTTAATAAAATACTAATAATAAGGGTGTGACATAAAAATGTTTTTTCACTTATTGTCTTTGGGTTTACTCTTTTAAAATATGTAACAGCTATTTATTTAGATTATAAACTAGTGTGTTAGCTTTTTCTTTTATTGAATATTATATTTCAATATAGTTTGGATGTTTGTCTCCTCCAAGTCTCATGTTATAATGTAATCCCCAAGGTGGGAGGTGTGGTGTGGTGGAAGGTGATTGGATCCTGGGGGCAGATCCCTGACAAATGGCTTAGTGCCATCCCCTTGGTGATGAATGAGTACACATGAGAGCTGATTGTTTAAAAGACTCTGGCCCCGTCCTCTCACTCCCTCTCTCTCGCTATTCTTGCTATGTGACATGCCTGCTCCCACTTTGCCTTCCACCATGATTGTAAGGTTCCTGAGACCCTCAACGAAAACAGATGCTGGAGCCATTTTGGTACAGACTGCTGAACCACGAGCTAATTAAACCTCTTCTCTTTATAAATTATGCAGTCTCAGGTATTTTTTATAGCAATGCAAAAATGGTCGAACCCAGAAATACGGTTCTAAGGAGTGAGGCGTTGTTATAAAGATACATTAAAATGGGGAAGCAGCTTTTGAACTGAGTAATAGACAGAGGTGGGAAGAGACCAGAGGACTCAGAAGAAGACATAAAGGTGAGAAAATGTTTGGACCTTCTTAGAGACTAGTTAAATAGTTGTGACCAAAATGTTGATAGTGGGTTGGGCCCGGTGGCTTACACTTGTAATCCCAGGATTTTGGGGGGCCTCAGTGGGTGGATCACTTGAGGTCAGGAATTTAAAAAAAATACAAAAAATTAGCTGCGCATGGTGGTGGGTGCCTATAATGCCAGCTACTTGGGAGGCTGAGGTAGGGGGGAATCACTTGAACCGGGGAAGTGGAGGTTTCAAGTGAGCCGAGAGTGTGCCACTGCACTCCAGCCTGGGTGACAGAGGAAAACTCTGTCTCAAAATAAAAATAAAAATAAAAATAAACACTTATAGTAATATGGACAGTGAAGTCCAGGCTAACAAGGTCTCAGATTGAAATAAGAAATTTATTGGGAACTGGAGCAAAGGTCACCCTTGTTATGTCTTAGCAAAAAACTTAGTTGCATTGTGTTCATGACCTAGGAATCTGTGGAAGATTCAACTTAAGAGTAATAACTTAAAGTATCCAGCAGAAGTAATTTCTAAGCCACTAAGCATTCAAGATGTGGCCTGGCTGCTTCTAACCACTTACCACAGATGTGGGAGCAAAGAAAATACTTAAAATTTGAATGCATATTTGAAAGTGATGCAGAGCATAATAGTTCATTATATGCATGATAATCATAGTAGGGATATTTGCAGCTTAGCCATGTGGTAGAAAAAAAAGTCCATTTTCAGAGGAAGAATCCAAGTTGGCAGAGCAATCATTTGCTAGAGGGATTTGCATGACTAAAAGAGAAGCAGGTGCTGATAGCCAAGACAATGGAAAGAAAGGCCTCAAATGCATTCCAGAAATCTATGAGGCAGCCACTTCCATCACAGGCCCAGAGGCCTAGAAGGAGAAAATGGCTTAACTGGCCAGGCCCAGGGCCCTGCTACCCTGTATCACCCCAGGAGGCTTCTCCAGCTTCAGCCTTGGCTCAAAGGGGCCCACATACAGGTCAGGCTGCAGCTCTGAAGAGTGCAAGCTACTGTAAGCCTTGGTGGTGATTTCTTGTGGTGTTAAGTCTGTGGGCACAAGGAATGCAAGAGCTAAGCTAAGGGGGCTTGGCACCTTCCCCTGAGATTTCAGAGAATATGTCAGAAAGCCTGGGTTTTCAGGCAGAAGAGTAATGCAGGGGTGGATAGCCCCCAGAAAAACTACCCAGAGCAGTGCAGAGGGGAAATATGGGATTAGAGGCTCCACACACAGTCTCCACTGGGGTACTGCCTAGTGCAGCTGTGGGAAGGAGGCTGCCACCTTCTAGACCACAAATGGTAGAGCTACAGGCAGCTTGTATCCTGGGCCTACAAAAGCCACAGATGCTCAACTCCGACCCATGAGAGCAGCCACAAGTCTGCACCCTGAAAAGCCATAGGGACAAGGCTGTCCAAGGCTTTGGTATCCCACCCCTCAAACCAGGATGTGGGACGTGGAGTCAAAAATTATTTTGCAGCTTTAAGATATAATGCCTGGCCGGGCATGGTGGCTCACGCCTGTAAACCCAGCACTTTGGGAGGCCAAGGTGGGTGTATCACGAGGTCAGCAGTTTGAGAGCGGCCTGACCAACATGGTGAAACCCTGTCTCTACTAAAAATACAAAAATTAGCCAGGCCTGTTGGCGTGCACCTGTAATCCCAGCTACTCAGGAGACTGAGGCAGGAGAATCACTTAAACCCGGGAGGCAGAGGTTGCAGTGAGTCAAGATGGCGCCACTGCACTCCAGCCTGGGCAACAGAGTGAGACTCCGTCTCAAAAAAAAAAAAAAAAAAAAGATATAATGCCTATCCTGTTAGGTTTTAGACTTGCATGGGGCCTACTACCTCTTTCTTTTGGCCAATTTCTTTATTTTAAGACAGAAATGTTTACCCAATGTGTGTACCACCATTGTTTCTTGGAAGTAAAATATTTGATTTCATAGACTCATAGGTAAAAGGAACTCATCTCCACATGAGATCTTGGACTTTGGACTTGGTACTTGGCACATTTGATTGAGTTGATGCTGGAACAAGTTAAGACTTTGGGGAAATATTGAGAAGGGATGATTGTATTTTGCAATGTGTAAAGGACATGAGATAGGAGGGGGCAGGGATGCAATGACCTAGTTTGGATATTGTCCCCTCTAAATCATATGTTGGAGGTAGGACTTGGTGGAAGGTGATTTGATCATGCAGGTAGATCCCTCATGAATGGCTTCACACTATACCATTGGTGATGAGTGAGTTCACATGAGAAGTAACTGTTTGAAAGAGCCTGGCTTGCTCTTCTCATTCTCTGGCTCTCTTGCTCCTGCTCTCACCATGTAATGTGCCTGTTCCTGCTCTACCTTCCACCATAATTGTAAGGTTCCTGAGGCCCTCACCAGAAGCAGATGATGGAGCCATGCTAAGACAGACTAGAAAATCATGGGCCAAGTAAACCTCTTTTCTTTATAAATCATCTAGTCTCTGGAATTTCTTTATAGCAGTCCCAACATGGTTTTAATACATTTTTCTAAAATTTTAAACTGCTAACTGAGTTATTTAAGGCATACTATATTATGCCTCAAATAAACATTTATCATGACAAGGGAATTCTCCAACCATCTTTTTAATGTATTATCTTTTTCCTTTACATCATTTCAATGCTTTCTTGAGGAAATAAAATGTATTTCTTGTGGTAAGCTTAAATGAATTACAGAAAGCTTCAAACTTGTCAGAAATTTATTTTCTTCCTATAACTTTAAAAAAATTTGTGTATTTTCCCTTTGGACTTAAAATAAGAAGCAAGGATGAAACAAAATAAAGCAACATAATAAAAAAGAAACAAATATATCATTTAAGCTCCTTAAATACATTTGAATTTCTGGAAGTTCAGGAAGCCTGAGTTTTTACTAAGTTGCTGAATCACAATGTAATATTGTAAATAAAATCATACAAAATGTTCTTTCTTTCTTACAGAAGGATTGAATCAGTGAAACAGGATTACAAATTTATGTTTCTTAAAATTTCATTGCTCTTGAACAGCATATCCTATTACTACAGAATAAACTAGACATTTTGTTTATTTTTTGTTAGAACACATTTAGAATTAGGAAATCATGAATACATTAACATGCAAGTCAAAAGAAGGAAAGTTTAAGCTCCAGATTTTAGACAGTCTTGTTGATTTTGTGAATTCAAATAAATACATTTTATTTGTTTTTCTAGACATCCAGAAGAGCAAATACATTACATACACATTTCCCTTGCAATTTAAAGTTGAAAAGTTGCTTCTAGCTTTCTGTGCACTACACACATTGCCACAGATCTTAGACAAACCTGTCACCAGGTACTAGTGCAGAAAAAACATTGTTATTATTTTTTAGATTGAAATGATTATGTCTTGTAGGTAACACCATTATTGGATCTAAAATTCAGAGGTAATTATGACATTAGGTAAAGTGGTTGCTTTCTAATTACATAGTATTGATTCTAAGGGTCCTAATATATTAATACTTTGGTTTAAATATGTATTGGACTTGGAAACTTTACTATAAACTATTTAGCCATTAAGCCATTTTAAAAAATAATTTTAAGCTTTCTCAACAAAATTTTTCAAGTATGGTGTATATTTACGTGCAATGAAAATAGTGATACTGTATTTTATGATAGCTATAACAGTAAGTAATCTTGATGACCTTTTTTTTTGTGTTTAAGTACCTATATTCCAAGCATACAAGACATATTTTTAGTAAAGACAAGAAAGCATCAACCTATTTTGGATCACATTTTGAGTCCCATGTGTTTCCCTGACAAAAACCTCACTTTTTTCATATTTGGAACTTTATTATTATATATGTATACATTGATGTGGTTTGGCTGTGTCCCCACCCAAATCTCATTTTGAATTGTAGTTCCCATCATTCCCATGTGCCATGGAAGGGACCTGGTGGGAGGTAATTGAATCATGGGGGTGGATTTTTCTCATACTGTTCTCGTGATAGTGAATAAGTCTCACCAGATCTGATGGTTTTATCAAGAGGAGTTCCCCTACACAAGTTCTCCTGCCTGCCACCATGTAAGACATGACTTTGCTCCTCATTCACCTTTAGCCATGATTTTGAGGCCTCCCCGACCATGTGGCTGTGAGTCAATTAAACCCTTTTCCTTTATAAATTACCCAGTCTCGAGTATGTCTTTACTAGCAGCATGAGAACAGACTAATACATACATATAATTATTTTGTAACTTTTAAATATACAAATTTGTAGTTATGTTTTATTTGTCATTCCTAATGTGGTCTTCTACTTGTGTCAATACAGATAGATAGATAGATAGATAGATAGATAGATAGATAGATAGATAGATATGTATGTCTTTTCTATGAGACATACCTCATTTTTTGGACTTGAGTTTTATTTTTTTAAATTATGCAGCTGATATGACTTTATTTAGTTAGATTATAGGCCATTCTTTTTGTAACATTTCAATTTAATTGATTTTGCTTTTACTCTCCCTTAATTCTATCCTTCACTTCCACACACGTTATCTGGCTTGTTTTTAGTTTTTTTCTAACTTCCTGAGTTTAGAATTTAGCTCAATTATTTTCAGTCTTGTCCTGTCCCATCTCTTCTCTTCTCTTCTCTTCTCTTCTCTTCTCTTCTCTTCTCTTCTCTTCTCTTCTCTTCTCTTCTCTTCTCCTCTCTTCAGACAGAGTCTCACTCTGTCGCCCAGGCTTGAGTGCAGTGGTACAAGCTCAGCTCACTGCAACCTCCATCTCCCAGGTTCAAGTGATTCTCCTGCCTCAGCCTCCTGAGTATCTGGAATTAACAGCATGCACCACCACGCCCAGCTAATGTTTTTGTATTTTTTTTGTAGAGATGTGGTTTTGCTATGTTGGCCATACATTTATTTGAAGTCAAATAGAACTGTTTAAACGTATTTGTCTATAGCTTATTGGTTTAATTTTTTTTGAATTATACTGATGAGGAAAAAAGTGCTTTGGGGGATATCAGAATGACTTTAGTTTTGATTGTATAGCTATGGATGGTTGTAATCATAGCCTTGGGGTATCTGAACTGTGGCCTCTGTTATTGTTTTTATTTTATTTTTAATATTGTGTTTATATTGTACCTTTTTGAAATATATAGTAGTGTAAGAAGTGAGATACAGGTAAACAGTATAGTTTTCCAAGTAATATTCTTTTTCCTAAGCATGATTTATCAAATAAGCTATCTTTCTCATGCCTATTGAAAATGTCACTTTTATGTTATTCAAAATCCCCTAGTGGATTTTAGGCCTATTATGACTTCTCTAGTCTATTCCACTGAACTAATTTATATTTATAACTCAGTACCCATATTTTTATTATTAGAGATTAACAGTTGTTTTTAATATGCACTAGAGCTATTCCTTCTTATTACACATAATTTTCAGAGACTTTTTTGGCCAAATCTGAACATGTTTCATATATTAGATTTATTTTTTTAATATCCAAGCTGATTAAAATCACTAAAGGTACAAAGCAAATTTTTAGAGCAACACTGGTATTTTCTTGTTTATTTCTATAGGAGTTCAATGAGCTTTTTTTGGCTTTTTAAATCATATCATTATAATTATGAATATACAATTTTATACATTTAAAGTATTTTAGTCTACTACATATTTTATTCTGTTTGTGACTAATAGAAGCCCTCTTATGTAGACAGCTTTTTGTGCTGTCTACATATGTATGTTGCTGGTTTAACATGATACATTACTGCATGACAGTTTTCATACATTCTAACACAAAAAGAAATACAATGTTAATCTTATACTTTTCTTGCCAAAGTGCTGAAAGAAAACATTGCTTTATGTTTGTGTTTTTTATAGGGATATATTTATTAGCTCTAGTTTCTTTCATATGGATATATAATTAAAAGTATATTATTAAATTATTATTATTAATTATATATATACACACACCAATAACGAACTAGTTTATAAAAGAAAGAAATCCCATTTGTAATAGCTACAAAAATACCAAGGAATGAATTTAACCAAGGAGATTTAAAAATCTCTACAACAAATACTATAAAACACTAATGAAATAAATGTAAGAGGACACACATAAAATAAAAAGACATTCTATGTTCATGAATTGGAAGAACTGATACTGTCAATATGACCATACTACCCAAAGGAAGCTACAGACAGAATGCAATTTCTATCAGAATACCCATTAACATTCTTCAAAGATTAAAAAAAATCCAAAAATTTGTATGGAACCACAAAATGACCACAAATAATCAAAGCAATCCTGAGAAAAAGAACATCCTGATGTCACACCACCTGACATCAAAATATGATACAAACCTATAGTAACTAAAACTACATGATACTGGTATAAAAACAGACACTTTAACCAATGGAACAGAATAGAGAGCCCAGAAATAAATCTATGTATTTACAGTTAATTGCTTTTCAACAAAGGAACCAGAAACATACATTGATAAAAGAAAAACCTGTTCAATAAATGATGCTCAGAACACTAGATATTCATATGCAGAAGAATAAAAATAAACCCTTACCTCTCACTATATGCAATAACTAGATTAAAATGATTTAAAAACTCAAACGTAAGACCCAAAACTATAAAACTACTAGAAGAAAACATAGGGTAAATGTTTCAGGACATTTGTGTGGGCAAAGAGTTTATAGATAAGACTTCAAAAGCACAAACAACAAAAGCAAAAATAGACAAATAATAAGATATCAAACTAAAGACTTCTTCACAGGAAACAAAAATCACCAGAGTGAAGGGATGATCTGCAGAATGGGAGAAAATATATGCAAACTATTCATCTGATAAGGGATTAATATCCAGAATATACAAAGAACTCAACTCCCAACACCAAAACACAATAATCAATTTACAAAATGGGAAAATTATCTGAATAGATATTCCACAAAAGAAGGCATACAAATGGCTTTAAATAAATTGTCGTCTTTTCAAATGTGACCAGACTACTTTGAGGAACTTATCCTTACTTCATAAAGCCAATAGACTTGGAAAATGACTAATCTGGTACCTCGTCTACATGATAGCCTTACAGGATTCTTATCCTTGTATTTACTAAATAATGTCAGTTTCTGACAGGTTTAGGAATCCCAATATATTTTGGGATCTTGAGAAGAGAGGAAATTACCGAATTTATACAGATATTACAGGAACAGTCTGAAGGTGAATCCTTGGTTGGGCTTCGCAGCCTCAAGAGACTTTTAAATACCTGACCTAAAATTCCTTATTAAAAAGTTTTAGCAAAGCCAACTTCTAAAAAGTCTATATAGTAAGTAACTATTATTACTGTACTTTACAAAAATAATCAGGCCAAATACTAAACTTACTTTGGAAACGAATTAGTCTTACCAGGATTATCTTTGGTGAAAAAAAAAAGGGGGTGACTGTAGAGAGAAAAAAAAAAACAGGTTTTAGGGGAAAATGCTATAGTACACCTATTAATAGACTTTACCTCATTGCTTTTGAGGTTTTATTATCAATCTCAAATCTGGAATTGAATCCTGAATTTTTTTTTAGTTTTCTCCAATATATGACTATGACTTTCTGAACTAATATTTGCCATTTTTCTCCCACAGCTTTTATTTGAAATCACTGAAATTAAAACTATTCTTTCCTGAAATCCTGCAAACTAAAATTGGAGAATTTGATATCAACTTCATAGAAATCACTGCAAGAGCTTATGTATAGGCAACTTCTATGCCTAGAATTGAGTATACTACTCAGAATTTTCCTGGTTTGCAGTTTGCATCAGGTGTTCACTGGAAACTGCAAACCAGGAAAATTCTGTCAGATTACCACTATCTGTTCTCATGCCATCCAAATATGCCTCAAGCTGAACATCTAACATTCTTCTCAACTGGCTGCTTTTTGGACTCAAAAATTGAGTTTATAGTTTGTTCTAGCCATTAACCTTTGCTTTTCTTTTGTTTACATAGAAATACCCTTTATTAAATATCTGGTTGCTCAAATCATATAGAGGCCTGACATTGGTAGAAGACCATCTTCAACACCACTGCCTGAACTGAGACACAGCTTTAACTGTTTAACTGGACTGACCTATTCTGAGACTGAGAGACTGAGTCAATGGCTTATAAGATAATCCACTGACCTAATTTCTGGACTGTGAAAATTCTTAAGGAAGTTTCAGAATGGAGAATGTTGGTGCTAAGAATGAAGGTCTCAGAAGTAGCCTCAGAAGCAATAGTTTCTCTCTGACACTCTCATACCCTTCTGTCTCTGACTCTCATTCTCCCTCAAAGCTAGCCATAGACAGTAGAAGGTGGATCTTAGAAACTCAACTAATTCAAGGTGGGTCATAGAAACCAGAAACCCTTTTCTCTAAAGCCAGACACAAAACCTAAAACGATTATGTATTCCTTCCACCACTTTTCTGTGTAAAAACTTGCCGTAAAAAAATCACTTGATCGACTATGTTTGATTATAGGTCATCAGACCTCCATTCCAGAGAAGGTTCTGTCTTATCCCAGGAGGAAGGATTGCTGCACAGAGAGGCCATGAAGAATCTAAACAGACCAGCCTTGCCAGGTTTTTCTACTCAGTCTATTAGAAATACATCATAAACCTTTTGTGCAAACATATGTCTACATGGCATCTATACTTTGCTGTTTATAAGTATAAAACTGGACAGTTTCCCTTGTATCTTTGGATCTTCATTCAGAAAGTTCCTGTGTCATGCAAAATTGATCAAATAAATTTGTATGCTGTTCCTCCTATTAATCTGTCTTTTTTTGGTTGCTTTTTAGTGAACTTTCAGAGGGTGAAGGGGCAGTATTCCCTTAGTCCTTACAGTACAAATTAATGTTTTTTTAATATATTCACATTTATGTTTAACCATCACCACAATCAATTTCAAAGCATTTTCCTCACAGCAAAACAAAAACAAGTACCACTTATCAATTACCCTCACCTTCCCTCACCTTAGAGAAACACTAATCTGCTTTCTGTTTTTATAGATTTCCCAGCACTTGACATTTTCTACAAATGGAATCACATAATGGGCAGGCTTCTGTGAATGGCTTCTTTCACTTAGAAGAATGTTCATCCATGTTGTAGCATGTATCAGTGTTTTATTCCTAAGACAAAATAATATCCTATTTTATAAATATACCACATTTTTTATACACTTGCTAATTGAACTTTTGGCTTGTTGCTATCATTGGCTGTTTCTACCATTATGAATAATGCAGTTATAAACAATTTTCTAAATGTTTTGGTATGGTCATATGCTTTCATTTTATCTTCCTCAGAATGTAATCAATGGGTCATCTGTTATTTCTGTGTTGAATCATTTGAGGAACTGCCAGACTCTTACACAAAGTATTTGCATCATTTTTACATTTCCACAAGGAGTGTATGAGGGTTCCAAATTCTCCATGACCAAGGGAAAACTTTTTTTATTTGACTTTTGATTCTAGCCACCTTAGTGAGTGTGAAGGAATATTTCATTGTGGTTTTCATTGCATTTTGCTGATGAATAATGATGTAATAATGGCTCATTGGACATTTTTATATCTTCTTTGAAGAAATGTCCATTTAATTTATTTGTCTTTTTATTATTGAGATGTGTCATTCACATATTCTGTATATATGTATTTTATTTTAGTTATTCTGGGTCATTTTTGTTTCCATACATGTCTTATGTCACCTTAACAATTTCTCTAACTTGCCTGCTGGAATTTTGGATTAGGAATACATTGAATCTGTAGCTCCATTTTATTAATGACATTGATAATTATTAGTAGCATTGACATCTTAACAATGCTGAGTTTTTCTTTTCATGCAATGTTGTATCTTTCTATGTATTTATGTGTAATTTAATTTCTATCATTAGTTTCTAGAACCAACACTGTAAAATTGAAGTTATGAAAACATGATTTTGCATTTTTGTGATTTGAGGGAATGGTTGGAAATCTTAAGATCATTTGGCCAATATATTTGATTGGCAAATAATAATTGTATATATTTATGGAGCACAATGTGATGTTCTGATATATACATATATATACATTATAAAAATATTAAATCAAGCTAATTAACATAAACTTTATCTCACCTACTTTTTTTGTAGTGAGAAAGTTTAAAATCTACTCTTTCAGCAGTGTCAAAATACACAATACATTATTATTAACTTGATCTGCTTCCCAGAAATTCAATTACATCACCTTCAAAAATAGATAATTATTATGCTCTTTTATACATTTATTTATGCTTGACTTATTTTTTAATATGTATTTATGCTTGACTTGACTTTTATATACTTATTTATGCCTGACTTGTTTTTTCTCTATAACTGTAATCTTTAGGACATCCATAATTAAAGTGCAATAAGCATGAGTAGCATTGTATCATTCTTGACTTTAAGGAAGATGTTTCTAGCTTTTTTGTGCTCATAATTTTCTAGTTAATATATTACCCCATTTTCAGGGTTGACTTTTTATAAAGAGAAGATATCAGCAAAGAAAAAAGTTTGCAGAAAAAGAAAACAAAACAAACAAAAGAAAAGAAAAACAAAAGAAAAACAAATGTATAATAAATAATTGACATAAATAATTGATATAAATGTAGAAGATGAATAATATCAGAGTTTGAACAGTCATGAAAAATAGTCCTAAGAAAAATCTATAATCTCTCCATGGCTTTTTTCAATAAAGAGTTTGATAATGTTTCCACTACAGTTTACATCTATCTTCTATCTTAACAGATAGATAGGCTGGAATGAAATCTAGTCATCCCGTTGTAGTATGACCATTCCTGGATTTAAAATACTCTCTAATATTTAATGCACATCTATGGACTTCTTCATCCAAGCACAACAAAATACATGTTTTTTAAGCTTACATGGAACATTTACCAAGATAAGCCATATTCTTGGTGATAAAATATATCTTAACCAATTTTTAAAAATATAAATCACTCAAAGTCTGCTGTCAGACCACAATGGAATTAAACTAGAAATCAATAATAAGAGATGGATACCCCAAAATACTTGGAGATTAAATAATAAACTTATAAATAGCACATAGGTCAAAAATATCAAAAGACATTAAAATATTTTGAACTATATGGTATAATAATTTATATTCATCTGGATATATACGCAGTAATGGGATTGCTGGATTGAATGATCGTTCTATTTTAGCTCATTGAGGAATTGTCCTACTGCTTTCCACAATGGTTGAACTAATTTCCACTCCCACCAACAATGTATAAGTGTTCCCTTTTCTCCACAACCTCACCAGCATCTGTTATTTTTTGACTGATTAGTTATAGCCATCCTGACTGGTGTGAGATGATATCTACTGTGGTTTTGATTTGCATTTCTCTAATGGTCAGTGATGTTGAGCTTTTGTTCATATACTTGTTGGCCACCTGTATGTCTTCTTTTGAGAAGTGTCTTTTTGTGTCATTTGCTCATTTTTCAGTGGGGTTGTTTTTCTCTTGTAAATTTAGGTTTCTTACAGATGCTAGATATTAGGCCTCTGTCAGATGCATAGTTTGCAAATATTTTCTCCCATTCTGTAGGTTGTCTGCTCACTCTATTATTAGTTTATTTTGCTGTATAGAAGCTCTTAAGTTTAATTAAATACCATAAAGGCACATGTGCAAATGTTCATGGCAGCACTATTTACAATAGCAAAGACATGATATCAACCTAAATGTCCATCAAGGACAGATTGGATAAAGAAAAGGTGGTATATATACACCATGGAATACTATGCAGCCATAAAAAACAATGAGATCATGTCTTTTATGGGAACATGGATGGAGCTGGAGGCTATTATCCTTAGCAAATTAACTCAGGAACAGAAAATCAAATGCCACATGTTCTCATTTGTAAGTGGGAACTAAATGATAAGAACCTATGAACACGAAGGAAACAACAGACACAGGGCCCTCCCTACTTAAGGGAGGAGAGTGGGACGAGGTAGAGGAGGAGAAAAAAATAACTATTGGGTACTGGGCTTGATACCAGGGTGATAACATAATCTGCACAACAAATCACCATGAAACATGTTTACCTACATAACAAACCTTCACATGTACCCCCAAACCTAAAATAAAAGTTAAACAAATTTTTTAACTAAATATAAATTAAAATGCAATTTATCAATATGTGTAGGTTGAAATAAAAACAGTGCTTAGAGAAAAATGTATAGCATTAAACTCATATACAGTTTGAATATCACTTATCAAAAATGCTTGACACCATAACAGTTTCAGACTTGGGATTTTTTTGGATTTTGGAGTGTTTGCATTATATTTACTGGTTGAGCATATCTGATCCAAAATCTGAAATCCAAAATCATCAAGTGATCATTACATTTAAGCACGATGTTGGCCCCATCAAGTGATCATTACATTTAAGCACGATGTTGGCCCCAAAAAAGCTTCAGATATTGTATTTTTGAATTAAGGATACTCAAGCTGCATTATAAAAGAAGAAAGGTGAAAAATTAATCGTTTAAGCTTCCATTTTTGGAAAGCAGGAAAAAAGAGCATATCAAATTTATAGTTAGCAGAAAAAAATTAATAGTATAAATTAGAACAAACATGAAAGAAGTGGAAAACAGCAAATTGGTAGAGAAAATCAAAGAACCCAAAATCTAGTGCTTTGAGAAGATCAATAAAATCATTTATCCTCTAGTTAGCCGACTGGCAATAAGAGAGAAATAGAGACAGAAAATGTAAATTACTAGACATCACTGCAATTCACATGAACATTAAAACATAATACAGAAATGCTACAGACGATTCTATGCCTAAAATTTGACAACCTAGATAAAGTAGACAAATTTCTTGAAAGACACACTCATACAAGAAAACTCACACAAAAAACATGCAAAACTCACACAAGAAAACAGAAGCAATCTATATCTTTCTATGTCTATTGTATTAGTCCACTCTCCACACTACTATAAGGACATACTCAAGACTGGGTAATTTATAAAGAAAAGATTTAATTGACTCACAGTTCTGCATGGCTGGGGAGGCCTCAGGAAACTTACAATCATGGTGGAAGGAACCTCTTCACAGGGTGGCAGGAGAGAGAATGAGTGGCAAGTGACGGGGGAAGCCCTTTATAAAACCATTAGATCTCATGAAAACTCATTCACTATCATGAGAAAAGCATGTGGTAACTGCCCCCATGATTCGCTTATCTTTACCTGGTCCTGCCCTTGACATGTGGGGATTATGACAATTTAAGGTGAGATGTGGGTGGGAACAGAGAGCCAAACAATAGCGTCTATTAAAATAACTGAATCAATAACAAATAATGTTCCATGAAGAGAAAGCATGAGGTGGATCAGATGAATTCAATGGTGAATTCTATCCAACATTTAAAGAAGAAATTACACCCATTCTCTACAATCTCTTTCTGGAGATAGAAACAAAGGGAACACTTTCTAACTCATTCTATGAAGCCAGCATCACCCTTATACCAAAATCAGAGAAACACATTACAAAAAAAAACAAAAAACAAAAACCTAGACCAATATGCCTTGAGAACATAGATACAAAAATTCCTAACAAAATATTAGCAAATAAAATCCAACAATGTATAAAAATAATTATATCCCATGACCAAGCAGAATTTATCCCAGGTATGCAAGATTGGTTCAACATTAAAAAATCAACTAATGCTATTAATCATATCAACAGGCTAATACAGAAAAATCACATGATTACATAAATAGATGCATAAAAAGCACTTGACAAAATCCAAAACCTATTCATGATAAAAAGTTCTAGCAAACTAGGAATAGAGGGGACTTTTTTCAACTCAATAAGGAATAGCTACAAAAAAACCTACACTTAGCATCATTCTTAATAGTGAGAAACCTGAAGTTTTCCCACTAAGATAAGAAATAAGGCAAGATTGTTTGCTCTGATTACTCATTTTTAACATTTACTGGAAGTCCTCCATAATGCAATAATACAATTAATGGAAATAAAAGGTATATAGAGCAGGAGGAAAGAAATAAAGCTGTCTTTTTTGCAGATGACATGACAGTCAATGTAGAAAATCTGAAAGACTGAGTGAAAAATTAACACTTCCCAAACTAATAAGTTATCACAGAAAGGTTGTAGGATATAAGGTTAATATACAAATGTCAATTATTATGCTACCTACCAGCAATGAATAAGTGGAATTTGAAACTGAATACACAAATCCTACATACCAGCAATGAACAAGTGGAATTTGAAACTGAATACAAAATATGACTTGCATTACCATCCACCAACATTGAAACACTCAGATATAAGTCTAATAAAATATGTATGAAATCTGTATGAGGAAAATAAAATTCTGATGAAGAAATCAGAGAAAAACTAAATAAATGGAGAGATATTTCATTTCATGAATAGGAAGACTTGATGTTGTCAAGATGTTCAGTTCTTCTCAAATTGATTTATAAATTTATTGTAATCAAAATTAAAGTCCCAGCGATTTATTTGGTGGATATTGACAAAGTGATTCTAAGCTTTATATGGAGAGGCAAAAGACCCAGAACACCTGGCTTAGCCTCGTAGGGCAGAGAAAAAACTAGTTTAGGAATCTAACTACTCTATTTGAATCTCTAACTTTAGTCATAAAAATAAGTTTGTAATAACAATATGTTCATATTATTTTGTCATACAGTATGATTAACTTGTGTTTTGGAAGAGACATAATATGAGTTTACTAAATATATTACAATGTCGCAACACACCTTAGTCTACTGGGAATTCAGATATACTGACATACATTAGGCTGACTGCCCTACTTCTCATGAAAATGATTCAAAATGGATTTGAGAAGGTCGGTTTCTTTAAAATAAAGACGCACAAAATTTAATGGATAAATATTATGATTATGGTTTGAGTTCTGGGCACACCACTGGTTCAGGAACACTTCCTGACTGGCCTACTTCAAGTTCATTCTCCCGTTGGATAACTCTTCTTTCTCTCTTTATTGCTTTCTCCTATCCACCAATATTTTTATGCTTTATTCTGGAGGGCTTAGGTCCATAATCCATCATCATATGCTAATTTGGCCTAAGGCTGCATTCTTTACTGTTTCTTCTATCCCTTAAAATTCTTCCATCCTGCCTTTCCTTTTCTTAAAGCCGCCTTCTCTTTTCTAGAAGACTGTAGTCAGAAATTGTTCTAGAAAATATTTTCTGTTTTTGTTAATGAAGATAGCCTTAATTGTAGATAACATTAATGTAAATAACAGATAGTATAGATAACTCTTATAACACAATCACATAAATTTAAGACTTTAGGAAGGATCTTAAAATAAAAAATTATCCTGATGATTTCAAGTACCAAACCAGGACAATGAAGGGGCTGGTTTTCCTTTGAAGACTATTTTACCATTCTTCAAAAGACAGGATTAAAATAAATGCCTACTTCACTTTTGTCAAATATTTACCTAGAAGCTTCATACATAGACATGTTAGCAATTATGTTATTCCCATTCTGAATCTAAGATATATCTTATCGTAAGGTACATTTTTAAATCAATAATTATATAATAACATATAAATTCAACTATATTGGGTGCATATATATTTAGGATAGTTAGCTCTTCTTATTAAATTGATCCCTTTACCATTATGTAATGGTCTTCTTTGTCTCTTTTGATCTTTGTTGGTTTAAAGTCTGTTTTATCAGAGACTAGGATTGTAACCCCTGCTTTTTTTTGTTTTCCATTTGCTTGGTAGATCTTTCTCCATCCCTTTATGTTGAGCCTATGTGTGTCTCTGCACGTGAGGTGGGTCTCCTGAATATAGCACACTGATGGGTCTTGACTCTTTATCCAATTTGCCAGACTGTGTCTTTTAATTGGAACATTTAGCCCATTTACATTTAAGGTTAATATTGTTATGTGTGAATTTGATCCTGTCACTACGATGTTAGCTGATTATTTTGCTCATTAGATGATGCAGTTTCTTTCCAGCATCAGTGGTCTTTACAATTTGGCATGTTTCTGCAGTGGCTGGTACCGGTTGATCCTTTCCATGTTTAGTGCTTCCTTCAGGAGCTCTTGTAAGGCAGGCCTGGTGGTGACAAAATCTCTCAGCATTTGCTTGTCTGTAAAGGATTTTATTTCTCCTTCACTTATGAAGCTTAGTTTGGCTGGATATGAAATTCTGGGTTGAAAATTCTTTTCTTTAAGATTGTTGAATATTGGTCCCCACTCTCTTCTGGCTTGTAGAGTTTCTGCCAAGAGATCTGCTGTTAGTGTGATGGGCTTCCCTTTGTGGGTAACCTGACCTTTCTCTCCAGCTGCCCTTAACATTTTTTCCTTCATTTCAACTTTGGTGAATCTCACAATTATGTGGCTTGGCCTTGCTCTTCTCGAGGAGTATCTTTGTGGCGTTCTCTGTATTTCCTGAATTTGAATGTTGGCCTGCCTTGCTAGTCTGGGGGAGTTCTCCTGGATAATAACCTGCAGAGTGTTTCCAACTTGGTTCCATTCTCCCCATCACTTTCAGGTACACCAATCAGATGTAGATTTGGTCTTTTCACATAGTCCCATATTTCTTGGAGGCTTTGTTCATTTCTTTTTACTCTTTTTTCTCTAAACTTCTCTTCTCGCTTCATTTCATTCATTTGATCTTCAGTCACTGATACCCTTTCTTCCAGTTGACCGAATCGGCTACTGAAGCTTGTGCATGCATCACATAGTTCTCGTGCCACGGTTTTCAGCTCCACCAGGTCATTTAAGGACTTATCTACACTAGTTATTCTAGTTAGCCATTCGTCTAATCTTTTTTCAAGGTTTTTAGCTTCTTTGCGAGGTAATGTATAGATTCAATGCCATCCCCATCAAGCTACCAATGACTTTCTTCACAGAATTGGGAAAAAACTACTTTAAAGTTCATATGGAACCAAAAAAGAGCCCACATTGCCAAGACAATCCTAAGCCAAAAGAACAAAGCTGGAGGCATCATGCTACCTGACTTCAAACTATACTACAAAGCTACAGTAACCAAAACAGCATGGTACTGGCACCAAAACAGAGATATAGAACAATGGAACAGAACAGAGCCCTCAGAAATAATACCACACATCTACAACTATCTGATCTCTGACAAACCTGAGAAAAACAAGAAATGGGGAAAGGATTCCCTATTTAATAAATGGTGCTAGGAAAACTGGCTAGCCATATGTAGAAAGCTGAAGCTGGATCCCTTCCTTACACCTTATACAAAAATTAATTCAAGATGGATTAAAGACTTAAATATTAGACCTAAAACCATAAAAACCCTAGAAGAAAACCTAGGCAATACCATTCAGGACACAGGCATGGACAAAGACTTTGTGTCTAAAACACCAAAAGTAATGGCAACAAAAGCCAAAACTAACAAATGGGATCTAATTAAACTAAAAAACTTCTGCACAGCAAAAGAAACTACCATCAGAGTGAACAGGCAACATACAGAATGGGAAAATATTTTTGCAATCTACCCATCTGACAAAGGGCTAATATCCAGAATCTACAAAGAACTTAAACAAATTTACAAGAAAAAATCAAACAACCCCATCAAAAAGTGGGTGAAGGATATGAACAGGCACTTCTCAAAAGAAGACATTTATGCAGCCAAAAAACACGTGAAAAAATGCTCACCATCACTGGCCATCAGAGAGATGCAAATCAAAACCACAATGAGATACCATCTCACACCAGTTAGAATGGCGATCACCAAAAAGTCAGGAAGCAACAGGTGCTGGAGAGGATGTGGAGAAATAGGAAAATTTTACACTGTTGGTGGGACTGTAAACTAGTTCAACCATTGTGGAAGACAGCGTGGCGATTCCCCAAGGATCTAGAACTAGAAATACCGTTTGACCCAGCCATCCCATTACTGGGTATATACCCAAAGGATTATAAATCATGCTGCTATAAAGACATATGCACAAGTATGTTTATTGCGGCACTATTCACAATAGCAAAGACTTGGAACCAACCCAAATGCCCATAAATGGTAGACTGGATTAAGACAATGTGGCACATATACACCGTGGAATACTACGCAGCCATAAAAAAGGATGCGTTCATGTCCTTTGTAGGGACATGGATGAAGCTGGAAACCATTATTCTCAGCACACTATTGCAAGGCCAAAAAACCAAACACTGCATGTTCTCACTCATAGGTGGGAATTGAACAATGAGAACACTGGGACACAGGAAGGCGAACATCACACACTGGGGCCTGTTGTGGGGGCGGGGGAGGGGGAAGGGATATCATTAGGAGATATACCTAATGTAAATGACAAGTTAATGGGTGCAGCACACCAACATGGCACATATAAACATATGTAGCAAACCTGCACCTTGTGCACATGTACCCTAGAACTTAAAGTATAATAATAAAAATAAAAATACAATAAAACTAAAAATAGAAAAAAATAAATAAATTCAACTAAAGATTAAAAAATGCAGTTTCAAGTGGACAAAATGAAAAATTTACATCTGCCTTACTATAATAAAGTGATAATTTCAGATATGGGCAAAAATGGAGAGATGAACCACAGATATTTTATTTCAGGAAATTTTCAGGGAATTGATATCATTTAACTGTAACTGTTGTAGAAGTAATTCAAATGAGAAATGTAAATAGCACGACACTTCAGAATTAGAGAATTCGCTTTGTTAATTTTTGCTTTTGTTTATTTCTGTCTCAACAACAACAATAAAGAATGTAAATTCCATTCCACACTGCTACTTTAAAATTTTAGGTTATTTGAGTTTATTGCTCACAAATTTGATTACAGGTCTTCATTAACTATGATTTCAATTTACATACATAGCATAAGTCTTTGCTTGCTGGCAGAGTTGGGGAATAATCAGTTATTTAACTTTTTATAACACTTATAATAATAAATCTGTTATTTAACAGTTAACCAGTTAACTTAATCAGTTATTTAGTCTGTTATAATAATCAGTTAATTAACTTTTTATAACATTTTCATGTATATTTGGTGAAAATAATTTTATATTTAGGTACATGGGCTTTGAAGTTATTGGAATCAGGTAAATCTGGATTTAAAATCTCAGCTCACTAGCTATATTTTACTACTTAGATAATTCACTAGCTGTATGACATTGAGCCATTTATTTGAATTCCTGATACCTAGTTTCCTCATCTGTAAAATGGGGGTAAATACTTACCTCACATATGTGATGAAAACTTAAATGAGGTAAAATATATACAGCATAGTACTTAGAACACAGTGATTGCTTTAAAATGCAGGCTATTACAATTTTTTTCATCATTCCCTAGATATATTCCCAAATTTCAAAAAACTGGAATAAAATTATATACATCAAAAAACCATATGGTAATCAAATTAGAACTTTTTGTTGAAAGTAACAAAATTCTATCCAAATTACCTAAGAATCGGCTCTGAATTCTAGGACATACCAAAATGTTGTCCTAATAATATAAATATAAATTATATTCTTTTTAAAGCTAATTTGGACTAGATATTTATCCTGACACTTTATTCTACTTTTACTCCCCTCTACCCCTGTGCACCCTCATACAATATATTAGAGACCTGAAAAACAACTTACACATTAATCTATTTAAGGTCTTGTGATTCATGAAACAGAAAGGAAATTTCATAGATCATAGATATTACTGGTGCATTCTCACAGCTGCTTCACTTGTTCTTTCAGATAGAAGGAAGCCTGCACTTTCCAGATGTGCTGTGTTTTTGTGAGATCTTGCAGCTCCTTCTGGCTAAAGAACCGTGAAGGAAAGCAGTGTGTGTGTGTGTGTGTGTGTGTGTGTGTGTGTGTGTGTGTGATTTCTATGCTGATTTCAATAAGATTTCTTATAATTACTCCAAATATCTCTGGTTTAGGCCATGTGTTTCAAATACTGCAGTTAGAAGAAAGTAGTGCTTTCTTCATCCTGAGTCATTGAGTATGGAATAATCTATTCTCTTTCCATGTGAAATATGTAGTAAGCGAGAGGCAATGTTGTATTATAAAGACACTGATTTAGGGAGAGGTTGTTTGTTACTAGAATATAACCTAATTTACATTAACAAATATATTCACTGTCAAATTCAGGCCTTATTTTATACCTCTACTATAAGGCAATATTCAGAACCAACAAATCACAACAACAACAACACACAAACACACACACAGCACATAAAGCAATTTATAAATTAGATATTTGCAAGCCTAATTAAAAAACAATTTAATAAATCCAGGACAATCTCATACCTAAACTTGTTTTATGATGAAATTCTGGGACAGACTTGTATGATGTGAGCATTGCTATCCTGAGATTTATTTCAATATTTGTAACAATTTAAAAGCAATTTTGATATTCCATACAGTTCCTATATTTCTAATGCCAAACATTTTAGATAAATATATTATGGGGAATTCTCCCTATTCATAACAACCATTTTTTACCAAAAATACTACAGCACTTCTCAAAATGCCTCTAATGCTAGGTAAATATTAAGTGAAACCCAGCTTTAATCCATACTATTATTTAATGACAGCTATTTTATTGCATTTACATATGAATATAAGCAACAGTTGTGACTAAAGAGGAAAGTCTGTTAAAAATGAAAGTTACAACTCAGGTGTTAATGTTCCAACATATTTTTATACTTCGGTGTCCATAGAATGGCTTCTAAATTATTCTTTTAAGGAACTTACAGCTCCCCCAAAATATTATGAAAGTAAACTAGTCTCTTTTTGCTCAATGTTCCATAGAAGTTAAAATATTTTTTGCATGTTGAAAGATTATGTGTATATTAATTTCATTATGAATTTTTAATATTACTCTCACTGAATTTAAGCTGAGTAGACATAGTGAAAGAGGAGCAAGATGCATAAACATATTATTGTATTCACTTTGCTTAATTCCACACATGCATATAAGTGTTATTTAGATGACATTTATATGAGGGCAAAATCTCTTTATTTTTTCATATGCTTACATATTAAACATTCTATTTTGTTTCCTAAAGCATATAGCTCAATAAATGAAAGGCATTAAAGAACAAAGAGAAAAGTTACCTGATTTTTCAAGAGATCATCTGGTACTTTTCTGGAGAATACTATTTATAGCAAAGTTGGAAACATGCGTGGAACCAATATACCAACAAAGATGCACATAGATAGCTAAAAACTAACTAGAGAGTTAACATTCAGTCAAATATCAGAATATTTCAAAATATTATATGTAGATTAGTTGCTTAGAAGATTGACCCTTCATGTACATATTTCTTGGCATGATGAAATTCCAGTAACTGCTTGTCAGATAATACATTTACTCCAAAAAACATTTTTTGTTGTTTTTGATGCAATCAGCTTTCATAAAATGTAGCTTCACTTGCCTAGTTGTGCCCATCCAAAACAAAGTGGAAAGTAAGAGAAGGAGGAGGAGGAAGAGGAAGACAAAAAGAAGCCGAAGGAGGAAGTAGAAACAAAAGAGGGAGAAGGAGTAGGAGAGCAATAACAGTAGAAGAAAAGCAGCCAAGTTCTTTTTTTTTTTTTTTTTTGAGACGGAGTCTTGCTCTGTCGCCCAGGCTGGAGTGCAGTGGCGCGATGTCTGTTCACTGCAAACTCCACCCTCCGGGTTCACGCCATTCTCCTGCCTCAGCCTCCTGAGTAGCTGGGACTACAAGCGAAAGGCAGCCAAGTTGTAATTGCTTTTCACTTCTGCGACTGGTATTACCCATTATAACTACATTCTTCTGTCCCTGTACAGTGAGGAAGATTTAGACATAACATGTGATTATAAATTAAAGAAAGCAAATTAAACTTTCTAATCATGAACTGCATGCTTACTCCCTATTTGCTCATTCTTATCCAATGACTCACAGTATCTGTAAGATTACTTTAAAAAAACTATAGTTGAAAATAATTTAAAGTAAAACACCAAATAATGAAATACAACATTAAATTGAACATGTCTGAATATTAATTTGGTGTCCTACACAAACGTTCAAATAATAATTCGAAGATTTGAATGAGGCACCTCGTGTATGTAAAATTCAACTTCCTCAGTAAATCATCTATAAAATGTATTATGTTTTCTTTAATTAGTTTTGTTTGCTGCCATCTTTCATAAAACAAGAAATCCTGGTAGGGTAACTTACTAGATATTACTTGTTTAATACACAGTGCTCATATATGCTAATTTTCATTTGTGAAAACTTAATGATCAATCTCTAATAATGTGGTAATTCATTTTACGGTACAATTTAAATAAACATGGATGAATTTTTCTAAACAAACCTTTGTCTTATATTGAATAGGTATTTTAATTCTCTATAGGTACAAACTAATCATTTTTTCCCATGAACATAAAAATGTGGTGGCAAATTAAAGATTTCTGATTATAGAGTTTCATTTTGAGAACTAATAATTCTTTTAAATATTAATAGATTATGTTAATTTTTTAATTTTAGAAAAATTGAACCAAGGCACTCATTGTGTAAGATAAAAGGACATCAAAATGTTTTTGTTTTCTAATTTTTAAACAAATATTTTTTATCTCTAAGTGTCTGAAAATGCAAATCTGAGATTTTGAGAAAATTTATAACAAAATCAAAGGATCTTACACCATTTAGCGCATAGTATCAAATCACTATTGTTCTGTATTTTGTCATTTCAATTCACATATGTCATATAGTGAGATTGGTAGGATTTTTTTTTCATAGTCTTAAAGAGGTTATATTGTTTGTCTTAGTAATGACTATTTGATTATGTTTGCCCACAGCATATACCTTAAGTCTTATCTCACAATTTCCTAAGGCTAATTTTAGCACCCTGAAAGGGAGACATTTTGCATTTTAATGCTGATTCATTACTAACAGGTGAGACTTAACTATTGCTCTTAAAAATTGTTATAAGTATGATGTTCACAACTGTGACCAACATATAAAAAATACTAATATCCGTAATGAAGTGACTATAGGGACATAGATACATTGTAATTTTCCTCAATGTTCAAAATAATTTTAATGGTTTTCATTTCTAAATAAATAGCATTTTAGCTATTTGGGCTGTCAAAGCCTTGGAGGTCAATTTGTCTACATTTGCTCTACGTGGACAAAATCACATTATTCCACAACTGGCGAAATCTGTTTGCTTGTGATTCTTGAATAGCAAGCATAGAATTTCCTTTCTTATTAGATTTGCTCAGGTTGGCAGACACGGTAAAATCAAATACACACATTTTAAAAATTAAACAACTATTCCAACTCCCATGGCATATAACACGTAACACAGTTCAGGATATATTTCATTAGTGTAACACATACTAAATATGATTCATGTAGTGCTTCATATGTGCCAGCAACTGCTATGTAAACATTAATCCGTTTAATTATCACAATGCCATCATGAATATGTACAGTAAATATCTGCACAAGTGAGGAAACTAAGGCACAGATGGGTTAATTTGCCAAGAACATAGTTCAAGTTAGTACATGAATTAAATACATGATTTAAAACCACGTAATATAGATCTAGAGTTCAAGCTTCTTATCTTCTTATTGTATTGTTTAATCTAAAACAAGATTATTCATAAAAAGCTTAAAACATGTCATATTGTGCTAAGAATATCTGGAGGCCTTTGTAGCTATTTTTTTTATTTCAACAGGTTTTGGGGTAACAGGTGGTGTTTGGTTACATGGATAAGTTCTTCAGTGGTGATTTCTGAGGTTTTGGTACACCCGTCACCCCAGCAGTGTACACTGTACCCAGTGTATAGTCTTTTGTCCCTCACTCCACTCCCACCCTTGCCCCGTGTCCCCAAAGTCCATTGTATCATTCCTATGCTTTTGCATCCTCATAGCTTAGCTCCCACTTATGAACGAGAACATATGATATTTGCTTTTCCATTCCTGTTACTGCACTTAAAATAATGGTCTCCAGTTCCATCTGGGTTGCTGTGAATGCCACTATTTTGTTCCTTTTTTTGACTGAGTAGTATTCCATGGTATATACCACATTTTCTTTATCCACTCTTTAATTGATGGCATGTAGGCTTGTTCCATATTTTTGCAATTGCAAAATGTGCTGCTATAAACATGCATGTGAAAGTATCTTTTTGGTATAATGACTTATTTTCCTCTGGGTAGACACCCAGTAGTGGGATTGCTGGATCAAATGGTAGATCTACATTTAGTTCTTTACAGAATCTCCATACTATTTTCCAAAGTGGTCGTACTAGTGTTCCATTTTCACCACATCCACATCAACATCTATTAGTTTTTGATTTTTTGATTACAGCCGTTCTTGCAGAAGTAAGGTGGTATTGCATTGTGGCTTTGATTTGCATTTCCCTGATCATTAGTGATGTTGAGCATTTTTTCATATGTTTGTTGGCCATTTGTATATCTTCTTTTGAGAATTGTCTATTCATGTCCTTAGCTCATTTTTTGATGGGACTGTTTGTTTTTCTTGCTGATTTGTTTGACTTCCTTGTAGATTCTGGATATTAGCCCTTTGTCAGATGTATAGATTGAGAAGTTTTCTCCCACTCTGTAGGCTGTCTGTTTACTCTGCTGATTGTTTCTTTTGCTGTACAGAAGCTTTTTAGTTTAATTAGGTGTCATCTATTTATATTTGTTTTTGTTGCATTTGCTTTGGGGTTCTTGGTCATGAGGTCTTTGCCTAAGCCAATATCTAGAAGGGTTTTTTCCTATGTTATCTTCTATAATTTTTATGGTTTCAGGTCTTAGATTTAAGTCTTTGATGCATCTTGAGTTGGCTTTTGTGAAAGATGAGAGATGAGGATCCAGTTCCATTCTTCTACATGTGGCTAGCCAATAATCCCAACACCATTTGTTGAATAGGGTGTCCTTTTCCCACTTTATGTGTTTGTTTGCTTTGTTGAAAATCAGTTGGCTGTAAGTATTTGGCTTTATTTCTGGGTTCTCTATTCCGTTCCATTGGTCTATGTGACTATTTTTATACCAGTGCCATGCTGTTTTGGTGACTATGGGCTTATAGTATAGTTTGAAGTTGGGTAACGTCATGACTCCAGATTTGTTCTTTTTGCTTAGTCTTGCTTTGGCTATGATGGCTCTTTTTTGGGGGTGCCATATAAATTTAGAATTTTTTTTCTAGTTTTGTGAAGAATGATGGTGGTATTTTGATGGGAATTACATTTAATTTGTTGATTGCTTTTGACAGTATGTCATTTTCACAATATTGATCCTACCTATCCATGAGCATGGGATGTGTTTCTACTTGTTTGTTTTGTCTATGATTTATTTCAGCAGTGTTTTATAATTTCCTTGTAGTGGTCTTTTGCCTCCTTGGCTAGGTATATTCCTAAGTATTTTATTTTATTTTATTTTATTTTATTTTATTTTATTTTATTTTTATTTTATTTTATTTTATTATTTTTGCAGCTTTTGTAAAAGTGGTTGAGTTCTTGAATTGATTCTCACCTTGGTATCTGTTGGTGTATAGCAGTGCTACTGATTTGAGTATATTAATTTTGTATCCTAAAACTTCTGAATTCATTTATCAGTTATATGAGCTTTTTGGATGAGTCTTTAGGGTTTTCTAGGTATAAAATCATATCATCAGCAAACAGTGACAGTTTGACTTCCTCTTTACCAATTTGGATGCCCTTTATTTCTTTCTCTTGTCTGGTTTCTCTGGCTATGACTTCCAGCACTATATTGAATAGAAGTGGTGGAAGTGGACATCTTTGTCTTGTTCCAGTTCTTAGGGAAATGTTTATGTTTTTCCCTGTTCAGTATAATATTGGTTGTGGGTTTCTCATAGATAGCTTTTATTACATTAAATTATGTCCCTTCTATGCCGATTTTGCTGAGGGTTTTAATCATAAAGGATGCTGGATTTTGTCAAATGCTTTTTCTGCATCTATTGAGATGATCATGTGATTTTTGTTTTTAATTCTGTTTAAGTGGTGTATCACATTTATTGACTTACTTATGTTAAACCATCCCTGCATACCTGAAATGAAACCCACATGATCATGGTGCATTATCTTTTTATATGCTGATGGATTCAGTTAGCTAGTATTTTATTGAGGATTTTTACCTCTATGTTCATTAGGGATCTTGGTCTTTAGTTTTCTTTTTCTCCCATGTCCTTTCCTGGTTTTTGGTATTAGGGTGATACTGGTTTCATAAACTGATATAATGAGGATTCCTTCTTATTCTATCTTGTGGAACAGTGTCAATAGGATTGGTACCAATTCTTCTTTGAATGTCTGATAGAATTCAGCTATAAATCCATTTGATCCTGGACTTTTTGATGTTGTTATTGTTGGCAATTTTTATATCACCATTTCAATCTCACTGCTTGTTATTGGTCTGCTCAGTTTCTATTTCTGGTTTAATCCTGGTTTAATCTAGGAAGGTTTCATATTTTCAGGAATTTATCCATATCCTCTAGGTTTTCTAGTTTATGTGCATAAAGGTGTTCATAGTAACTTTGAATGGTCTCTTGTATTTCGGTAGTATTGGTTGTAATATCTTCCATTTTCTTTCTAACTGAGCTATTTGAATCTTCTCTCTTTTCTTTGTTAATTTCACTAATGGTTTTTCAATTTTATTTATCTTTTCAAATACAAAGCTTTTTGTTTTATCTTTTGTATTTTTCTATTCTTTCTTTCACTTTCATTTAGTTCTGCTCTTATCTTTGTTATTTATTTTCTTCTGCTGGTTTGTGGTTTGGTTTGTTCTTGTTTCTCTAGTTCCTTGAAGTGTGACTTTAGATGGTCTATTTGTGCTCCTTCAGACTTTTGGATGTAAGTGTTTAAGGCTGTGAACTTTCCTCTTAGACATGTTCTGCTGTATTCCAGATATTTTGATAGGTTGTGTCACTATTATCATTCAGTTCAAAGAATTTTTTTATTTCTATTTTGATTTTGTTGTTGACCCAAAGATCATTCAGAAGCAGGTTATTTAATTTCAATGTATTTTCATGCTTTCGAGAGTTTCTTTTGGAGTTGGGCTCCAATTGTATTCCACAGAGGTCTGAGAGAGTACTTGATATAATTTTGATTTTCTTAAATTTATTGAGACTTGTTTTGTGTCCTATCACATGGCCTATCTTGGAGAATGTTCCTTATGCTGATGAATAGAATGTATATTCTGCAGTTATTGGGTAGAATGTCTGTAAATATCTATTACATCCATCTATTCTAGGGGCTCACCACAACCTCTGCTTCCCAGGATCAAGCAATTCTCCTGCCTCAGCCTCCTGATTAGCTGGGATTACAGGCATGCACCACCACACCTGGCTAACTTTTTGTATTTTTAGTAGAGATGGGGTTTCATCATGTTGGCCAGGCTGGTCTCGAACTCCCAACCTATGTGATCCACCCGCCTCAGCCTCCCAAAGTGCTGAGATTACAGGCATGAGCCACTGCCCCCAGCCCCTCTAGGGTATAGTTTAAGTCCATTTTTTTGTTGTTGTTACTAATTGCTGTCTTTTTTTGTCGTTGTTATTAACCTGCCTAGTGCAGTCGATGGAATATTGTAGTCCCCCACTCTTATCGTGTTGCTGTCTATCGCATTTCTTAGGTTCAGTAGTAATTGTTTTATGAAGTTGGGAGCTCCAGTATTAGGTGCATATATATTTAGAATTGTTATATTTCCTTGTTGAACCAGTCCTTTTATTATTATATAATCCCTCTTTGTCTTTTTTAACTGCTGTTGCTTTAAAGTGTGTTTTTTTCTGATATAAGAACAGCTACTCCTACTGGCATTTGGTGTCCATTTGCATGGAAAATCTTTTTTCACTCCTTTCCCTCAAGTTTATATGAGTATTTATGTGTTAGGTGAGTATCTTGAAGATAGCAGATACTTGGTGAATTTTTAATCATCCTGCCATTCTGTAACTTTAAGTGGAGCATTTAGGCCACTTGCATTCAACATTAGCATTGAGATGTGAGGTACTATTCTATTCATTATGCTATTTGTTGCCTGAATATTTAGGATTATGTTCACTGTGTTATTTTTATATATGTCCTGTTAGATTTATGCTTTAAGGAGGTTCTATTTTGGTTTATTTTGAGGTTTTGTTTCAAGACTTAGAGTTTGAAACAAAACAGCTGCTTTTAGCAGTTCTTGTAGTGCTGGCTTGGTAGTTGGTGAATTCTCTAAGCATTTGTGTGTCTGAAAAAGACTATATATTTTCTTATTTATGGAACTTTGTTTCTCTAGATGAAAAATTATTGGCTTATAATTGTTTTGTTTAAGGAGGCTAAAGGACCCCAATGTCTTCTGGTCTATAGAGTTTCTGCTATCTGATAGGTTTTCCTTTATAAGTTACCTGATGTTTTTGCCTCACAGCTCTTAAGATTCTTTTCTTCATCTTGACTTTAGATATTCTTTAGACTGTGTTCCTAGGTGATGATCTTTTTGTGATGAATTTCCCAGGTGTTCTTTAAGCTTCTTGTATTTGGAGGTCTAGATCTCTAGCAAGACTGGGGAAGTTTTCCTCAATTATTCCCTCAAATATGTTTTTCAAACTTTTTGATTTCTCCCTCAAGAAGCAATTATTCTTAAATTTGGCCATTTAACATATCCCAGACTTTTTGGAGACTTTGTCTTTTTAAAATTTTTTTTTTTGTCTTTGTAGGATTGTGTTAATTCAAAAGCCTTGTCTTCAAGCTCTGAATTTCTTTCTTCTACTTGTTTAACTCTATTGCTGAAACTTTCCAGGGTATTTGGCATTTCTGTAAGTGTGTCCTTCATTTCCAGAAGTTCTGATTGCTCTTTTATTTATGTTATGTATTCATTTGGAGATTGTTTTTGTCCATATCCTGTAACTTTTAAAAAATTTCTTTGAGTTGATATTCACCTTTCTCTGGTGCCTCCTTGAGTAGCTTAAAAGGCAACCTTCTGAATTCTTTTTCTGGCAATTCAGATATTTCTTCTTGGTTTGGATTCATTGCTGGTGAGCTAGCATGATCTTTTGGAGTGTTAAAGAACTTTTCTTTGTCACATTACCAGAACTGTCCTGCCAGTTCCTTCTTATTTGGGTAGACTATGTCAGAGGGAGGACCTGGGGCTCAAGGGCTGCTGTTCAGATTATTTTGTCCCATGGGGTGCTCCCTGGATGTGGGTGCTCAGAGATGTGGCTTCCTGAGAAGTGAACTGCAGTGAATGTTATTTTTCTTCTGGATGTAGGTGCCCAGCTACTTGGGAATGTCTGCAAAGAGACCTGTGATGTGATCCATCTTCAGGTCTCTCAACCTTGGATACTAGCACCTGTTCTGGTGGAGGTAGCAGGCGAGTGAAGTGGACTCTGTGAGGGTTCTTGGTTGTATTTTTGTTTATTGTGGTAGTTTTGTGTTGATTGGCCTGAAGCCAGGAGGTGGCGCTTTCAAGAAAGCATCAGCTGTGGTAGTATAGGGAGGACACAAGCTTGCCTAAGGTCACGAGGATAAGTTTCTCAGGCAGCAGGCAGCCCATAGAGCTCCCAAGCGATTATGTTCTTTGTCTTCAGCTACCAGGAAGGGTAGAAAAAGACCATTAGGTGTGGGCAGGGTTAGGTGTGTCTGAGTTCAGACTCCCCTTGGGCCAGGCTTGCTGAGGCCGCTGTGCGGGATTGGGGTGTGGTTCTTAGGCCAATAGAGGAATGTTTCTAGGGGAATTATGACTGCCTCTGCTGCATAATGCAGGCTGCCAGGGAAGTGGGGGAAAGCCAGCAGTTACAGGCCTCACCCAGCTCCCATGCAGCCCAAAAGGCTGGTCTCACTCCCACTATGCCCCCACCATCAGCACCCAGTTTACTTCCAGGCAGCTGGTGTGCAGGGCTGAGGACTTGCCCCAGGCTTCAGGTCTCCCTGCTGTAAAAGCAAGCAGGGCCTTTAGGTTTCATGCCTCCCCACCAGCCACAACTTATGTGCTGTGATTTCACTCCCCAGTTAACCCTCTCCCCCAGATTATGTCGAGGAAACTTTGTGTTCTGTCAAAATTGTTACAAAGTTCAGTTGGAGGTTTCCTTCTCCCTGTGGTCTTTCCCCAATTCCACAGGCGGCCTTACCCAAGGATCCTTGTGAGATAAAGTCAGAAATGGCTTTCCCAGAAACCAAGAATGCCAACAGGCCTCGTCCCACAGCTTTCTCTATCCCTCTATTTTGCCCAGCTCTCTAAGTTCATCTCAGCTCCAGGTAAAGTCAAATCCTTCTCCCATGATGTGGACATTAAGGTTCCCCAGTGAGGATGATTGTTTAGGGGCAGACGATCCCCCTTTCACATTTTCACGCTTTGGGCACTCAGAGTTTTTCGGCCATTTCCTGGAGCCTGAAGTAGCAATTCACTTCTTTCAAAGGGTCTGTGGATTCCTTTGGCTTTCCTGGTATGGTCCTGCTGTGGTTCTTCAAGCAAAAGTTTTGGATATGGGTATCCACATGCTGCTCTGTCCATGTAAGTGGGAGCTGTAAGTTAGTCCTTCCTCCTACCCACTGTTTTCCCAAAGATCCAGCCTCTGAGATTTTGTTATTTATATCTTTCCTTTATGAAACTATCACCTGTCTAGTTCTTCAGAAGAAGAAGTTCGTAAATTTATTCCTTTGTTGTATTATTCAATAAGCCTGGTACAAATTTTAGGTATAAGTTCCAGTCAGACATATCAGTTTTGAACCATAAAATCATGGCACTTGTGTATTTTTTTAGTAGTTTTACAGCATGCAACAAAATATCTGCTACCAATGATAGCTGAAGTGCCAGTATTTTGAAATAATTTTCTGTCTATTCCATTGAATTCTGCATTTTCCCCATAATGTCACTTTTAGTTATTTGCAACCCGCCATTGTAACTGATATGCCTTTAATAAGAATAGAAAGTATATATTATACTGCCTCATTTTGCACAAAATTAAGCACTTTCTTATTTGCTAAAATCTTATTACATTCATGACAATATGACAAGATGGTCAATAGCATGCCATCAGTATTATGGTAGAAAAAATTAGCAAATATCCAGTCTTAGCTCATAAATATGCAAGCAGCTAGGGACTTCTTTTTTGTCTCCACATAAAGTATATTTTTTGATATCCTGATAGTTATTGCAAATCATATATCCCAAATCAAAATAGTCTTGAGTATATTCAGGATGCTGAATGTAGCAAGTAAATTTTCCTGTGTTCCTTACATAGACTTGGTAGTATCAGCAATCAGTCACCGCATTGCTCTATCTGCTGATAGGTGGCTGTCATAAGAAAATACCTTAGGTGATTACAAACTCTTACAGTCTCCTCCTTTTCCATGTATTTTTCCTAGTTTTCAGGTCTATATGTAATAGTGCTTATCAAATAATTTCAGTCTGTCTATATTCAAGTTGCCATTTCTGTGGTCTTTTGAACCACAGCACACAATCCTGTCACCAGTGATTCCACATGTTAGAAGTCCATATTTTATAACAGACGGCTTATTACATGTCACACTATATGAATGACCCTGTGCTTCTCTCTCAAAGTGGAAAGTCTATATAACAGTTGCTATTACTTGGTGAAGTCCCTGGAATTGCTTGCCTCTATCCACAGTTTGCCAGAGACCTTTGAATTTCTAGGGTTTTTTCACCATATTTTAAATGTATCTCAGGGAATTAGGCTGTTGTGTGTCAGTATTAGGTTTAGCCACAGCACACTGGATTACTAGAACACCTATTTCAGCCCCTGCTGCCTAGAAATTCCAAATGAAAAATTCCTTAAACCTACTTTATTTCTCCTAGTACATTTTCATGGTGATCTAGAGACTTAGCATTCCTTGTATTAGCCAGGCTTCTATAAAATATTATTCTTGGCCAGGTGTGGTCACTCACACCTGTAATTCCAGCACTTTGGGAGGCTGGAGCAGGTGGACACCTTGAGCCCATGAGTTTGAGACCAGACTGGGTAACATGGAGAAAATCCATCTCTACAACAAAAAAACAAAAATTAGTCAGGCGTGGTGATGTGTGCCTGTAGTCCCAGCTGCTTTGGAGGCTGAGATGGGAAGATCATCTTAGCCAGGGAGGTCAAGGCTGCAGTGACCCATGATTGCGCCATTGTACTCCAGCCTGGGTGACAGAGTCAGACCTTGTCTCAAATTAAAAATAATAATAATAATAATGGTCTTGGTAAATCAACAGATTTAAGAAAAATATTTGGGAGTTTTCCTACATCAGTGTAATGTATGATTCACTATAGCTTGATATAAGAAATAAATCAAATAAAACATAAATTTAGGAAAAAGTGGAGACTAGTTGTACCTACTTTCAGTTCACCAGTGGCTATACACTAGACAATATCAGTCTTTATTACACTATTGAATACTGAGTGTGTGTCAGATACAAGATCCTAGATCTGCTTATCAGAAGTATATAAAACTCCACTGAATACATTGTGGACATTCAATAAATATTACAAAATAGCAGTGTGTCGAATTGTACAGAAGGCATATGTGCTGACTGAAAAGAGAGAGAATTGTTAGATTTGTTTACTGTAAATGCCAAGGGAGAGGTAAAATTTCGCTATGCTAGAACTTATTTATATGTATTACTTCATATAAAGAGAATTGTTCAAAGACATGATGGAGGGGAGTTAGGAACATAGACACAACTGAACTTAACCTGTGTATTTCAGTGCCCATCAATACAAGGCTATGGCTTCTCTCTTGAGATAGATATCTGTTGTCTCTTGAGGAACCTTTTTATTGTTAAAAGAAGTTTCTCTTTGGCAATCCATCAAACATAGCAACTTTCAGGAATATCCTTCTGAAATGACTCTAATGATTGTGTTTACACAACCAGACTGTGTTAGTTGCACTTCCTCTTTTCCAAACATTTTCTTGAATTCAATGAGAAAATATATAGTTTGTATTTTTCAATGAGTTTTCATTATGGTCTGCAAAAACACTCTGGGCTGTTCTGAGATAGAAATGGATTTGGCAGCCTCAAATTGTTTGTGATATGGAGAGGCCCAGCAATGGTACTTGAACTAAAAACATGATGTGAGGAAGTTCTGTGAAAATCATATATCTTGACTTTCAGTTAATGATGGTGGATTAAAACCATCATTTCAGCTCTGTTCCCTCACAAACACCATTAACATTATAGAAAAGGCATTTTAAAGACATAATCTCATAAAAACTAAATAATGAAAGAAAAGTAGCGGGAAAAAATTAGAGATAAAAATCAGACAGATGAGTGGTTGTTGAGCTACCACAAAGTCTAAGCAAGGTAATACTAAGATATGTGAATCACAAGCTGGCAATAGAGAAAGTTGAAGAAAGAAATTCAATTTAAATTATACAATGCCCGAAAGGATCCCTAATTGTTGGCACTGTGTACCTTTGGAAGAACTGGTTGAAAATATTATTAAGAAGCAATTAGATGACCTATCCAGATTCCCTCTAGTGGGTGATTGTCTTTTCATCATCCCTGCAGAAAACAGGTTTATTCTATGAGGAGGACAAAACAGAGTCTCTGTACTAGGTGAAATAAGATGCAATTTATGTCAGGGGTAGCTTACTCAAAGAGGGCTTAACTGAAAGTTTAGGCACTGAATATAGAGATACCTTAGCTGATTTTCTTCTCTCCACATCCAGAACTTTAGTAGACAGAGTTATATCCTCCAGAAAAAGGAATGGAAATAATTTCTCGCAAATTTAACCGATTGAAATGGGAAAAATACATATAAAAATAAATAAAAGATTGACAATGATATTAGAGACTCTTCAGTTAAACTGTCCAGCCATATTATCCATAGCAGAAATATAGTTAACAAACCCCACTCTCATGCTGTTTCAAACATCTTTTTATATTGTCTCTTTATAATTATGCACAGACCAACAGGAGCACAGGGTTTTGAGGAAATCATTTAACGTGAGAGTCAATGATCTAATCAAATAAACAACAAAAATCAATTTTGAAGGAAATGAGATGATTCAGGGGAAATTATATATGAAAATATATTTCTATTAATAGCCTTAGACAATAAGAGTAAATATCGTATCCAAAAAACAAAAATAGGACACTTTGAAAGAAAGACCATCAACATTGATCTCTTGAAAATTAAAAATACGAAAACAAATTAAACCTTAGTAGAAACTTTGGCATATGGAGTTGAATAAATCTCCAAGAAAGGAGAATCAAAAGTAAAAAGAAGTAATTAACAAGAGAAAATTTATAAGAAAAATATTGACCAGCACAAAAATTCCAACATCTAAATAGTAGGATTTACAGAAAGAGATAACAGAGAAAACTACAATAACAAGAACAGTTTCTTCAAAGAAGAAACAGAATAAAATTTTCTAGAAGGGCAAGTCATGAGTGTCCAGACTGAGAGTGTCCACTGAATGCAATTAATTAAAACGGACCTACATTAAGCAACATAACCACGAAATGTTCATATACAGGTTACACTGAAAATATACAAGATTTCAGAAAAAAATAAAAGAACAAGACTTATAAGAAAAATCACAAATTAGAATGACAGTAACCTCTCAGCAGTTTCTCAGGAAGCTTAAAAGCAGTGAAAAATATACTACAATTATGAGAAAAAATATTACAAAACCTAAAATTATACAGCTAACTAAATTATCAATTAAAGTACTATAAAGACATATTAACAACTCATTAAATATTGTGTCTCATGTGCTTCAACTTAAGAGAAATTTGGAGCATAAACTTTCCAAATCAGGAAAAAAGAAAAAGAGAGAGAGAAAGAGGTTCAATTAAGAGAAGACATGAGACCTTGAGCAAATACGTCAGGCCCGTACTTGTCCTGACCTCCACATGCCCAATGGCCATGTGACCCTAGTGGCTGGGGGAGGAGGTTGAGAACTATGGCAGGGAACCAAGCAGTGAGGGAGTGATGGTGGGTCTGGCTGGCGTGATGACTGACCGTTAAGCCTGCCTTGGCTGAGGGCCCCGGGCAGTGGGGCCGCAAGAGCAGGCAGAGCCTTCAGCCACAGAGCCAGGAAGATGCTGCTGTCTCTAGTACTTCACATGTACTCGCCTGCTTCGGACGTCATGCTCCTAGGCATGGTGCTCACCCATGTGCCGGCCTGGGGAGTCTGGCAGCTGCCCTCCGTCATCCCGTCCGCCAGCTTCTTCCAGGCGGTGGACAGCTGGCTCTACTGCGTCTACCAGAGTGTGGCGCTCTTTGAGAACTACACCAGAGTACAGATATTGCTACATGGAAGTATGCCAAAAATTAAGAAAAATATAATGTATTTAGCAAATCATCAAAGCACAGTTGACTGGATTGTTACTGATATATTGGCCATTGAGCCGAATGCTCTTGGACCTATGTGCTCTGTGCTGAAAGATTAAAATGACTTCCATCATACAGGTGTTACTTGTCTCAGCATGGAGGAATCTAAAAGAAAGTGCCAAATGTATTGAAAAAGAAATGAGAAACAAGTGGCAGAGCTACATGAATGCGGAAACTGCTATGCATTTTATGATTTTTTTCCAGAAGGTACAAGGTATAACACCAGACAAACAAGTCCTTTCAGCTCGTCAATTTGCTGCTCAACAAGGCCTTGCAGTATTAGAGCATGCTGACACCACTAACAAAGACAGCTCATGTTGCTTTTAATTCTATGAAGAATTAGTTGATGCAATTTGTAATGTTACAGTAGTTTATGAAGGAAAAGATGATAAGGAGAAACTCAAAAATCACTATCCATGACTGAATTTCTCTGCAAAGAATGCCCCAAAATTATTACTCACATTGATGATACAGACAAAAAACGTGTCCCAGAAGGGCAAGAATATATGAGAGGATGGCTTCATGAACATTTTGAAATAAAAAAAATAAGGTTTCAAAGAACTATGACTCACCAGACCCAGAAAGAAGAAACAAATTTCTTAGAAAAACTGTTAATTTCGAATTAAGAATCAAGAAGACTTTAGCATCAGTATTCATCTTAAATGGTTTGACTGATGGCATGCTTATGACCAGAGGCTAGAAGCAAGGTTCCATATGTCCACTGTATGTTTTACATACAGTTTCCTTCCAGGCTCTGGTCACAAGCATGCCATCAGTAAAACCATTTAAAAATTTGTGACTAAAGCCAATATGTGGTTGGTCTTGCACAATCATACATGGTTTTATACCTTTAGTCATGAGGCTGCTGGTGAGGTAAAAGCTAAACAGACAGTTCCCATGACACCTTCAGAAGATTAGGGATTTCATAATTTGTTATTGTTTTGTAATTCAAATTACTACATTTGAACATTAATTTTCAGCATATTTTACTATTCTTGTTATTTTCCATTTATTACAACCTAACAGCTCCAAACTCTTATCACTAATTAGTATCTTGCAGCTATGTAATATTTCACTTCTTTCTTAATTTCTGCAAGTGAATGAAATAAATGGTATTTAAATATGAAGATGTTAAAGGAAAAGGGGAAAATTTTCATGGGGAAGAAGCTCTATTTAGTGCAAGTTTTCATTACATTGCATTATTAGCTGATTTTGTTCACTTTCTATTTTGCAAAATAATGAACTTTTCTAATATATATTGAAATTGCTTAATTTGCACACCCTGTACTCTACACAAAAGAATAATGTATAACATATGAGAATGTAGTTTAAGTTAAAATTGTAAATTTGATTCACTGAAACAGAACTTTAAATTGCCCACCATTTTGAAGACTTAAGCTACACTTTAGTACTTCCCAACCTTTGTGCTGTGTTTGAAACATTAAGGTTCCCGATTATTTTTTACGTGAAAATAACCTGTGAGAACTTTTGTTAGACCTTGAGTTCACAGATATTTGATGTAATGGGAGCCTACAGACATTTCGACAAGATTTACTACCATGTGCCTATTTTTCTTTGCTTTAGCAAAAATACTTAATTCAAAAATCACTTTTATGTTACCCTGGTAGATTTCCACTGTGTTCTAGTCCTTTCCCCTTGGATTTCCTTCAGTGATGCTGCTCAGTGGCTTGAGTGTAGACTTGCAGTGAGGAAATGCAGTGCTAGCCAGTGTTGCCCTGTTTCAAAGTTGAACTCTTTAAGCCCTTGTGAGTGAGCTTCACTGGCTACCGAAGAGGAATTTTGCATTTGTGTAGGGAAAATCACCTTCCTCAAGCCAATGGAATGCAGACTTAATTCATCAGAACTGAGTTAATTTGTTTATATTACATTAGTTTTAATGGAGTTATACAGTAATTTAAAGTGTCACCACAGAACAAGAGCTTCGTTCCAAGAATGAAATCACATAATTTCCAGTCATGTAATAATATATTCCATAGAATAATGCTTTTAAAAAAATGTGAAATGCTCTTTTTTATGTTATAATTTAAACTTGATTGGCTACTTATTCTTTATGTTAACATTTCTGCTTACTGCTAGTGAATTTTTGCTAGAAAATTATACCAATGATCCAAATGAAACACACCGATCGAATCATGATAAACAAAATGAAAAAAAAAACCTAAGGAAAATCATATCTGGCTGCATTACACTGCTTATCCAAAACTAGAGAATAAGCCATTTCAAGCAACACCTTTGAAGAGTCACATAGTATGAGTTTGTATATGTTAGTATGTAGATGTATACACATGTTCACATACACTCAGGATGCAGCTGACCTGACTATGAATGGGGGCATAGATAAAACTTATGAAAATTGAGCTCATGCCAAATTGTAATTTTCAATTTCCTGTAAAGTAAAATTTATATCCCTCCCATGACCTTGTTAAATAAATTTATGAACAGTACTGCACTAAATCTAGAACTTATTTCCACCTAGGTTAAAACAAATGTAAATTGTGTACCTTATTTTGAATATCATGAATGTGATATAAATTTACACTTCAGGAAGCAATATCATTGGAATTATGTCGATTATAACTCATTTTAACAAGACAAAGAAACCTGCATACAATCACTTGAGTATTATTTTTTTAGGACTACACTTATATTCTTCTCACAAAAGGTCTATAAAATATGGTATTTAAAACTATTTGTAACAAAATGTTTTGAAAATTAGAAACTTCTCTTTAACACGTATGGATATTTACTTGAATTATCATTTCCTAAAATCAAGAGCTCTCTGCCTACCTGTAAATCTGTTCAACATCATTAAACTTCTGTTTGTATTATTATTTTTGTTTACCTATAGCTTAGTTTTTTTTTTTTTACCTAGTTTATCTTTATAAGAATGACATCAGTGTGCATGCTTTTATATTATTCAGAACATGGTATGTTTGCATGAATGTAAAAAAATGAAATAGTTTACTGTAAAAAAATAAATAAATAAAAAGAGGAGAGGAGACAGAGCAAGATGGCCAAATAAAAGCCTCTGCCAATTATCCTCTTCTCTGGAAGAGTAAATTTAACAGCTAATTACATACACACAAAAAGCACCTTCATAAGAACCAACAAATTGGGTGAGCAATCCATACCTAGTTTTAACTTCATATCATTGAAAAAGGCATTGATGAGGGTAGGAAAGACCGTCTTAAATTTCTGACACCAACCCTGTTTCATCACCCTGTCAGTAGCTGGCAGTGTAGCATGGAGAAAGAATCTGTGCACTTGGGGGAGGGACAGCACAGCAATTGTGGGACTTTGCACTTCAACACAGTACTGTCAACACCAAGCAGAGCTCAGCTGGTGCTCATGGAAGGAGCATTTAGGCCAGCCCTAGCCAGAGGGGAATTGCTTATCCCGGTAGGTGGTCGGAGCTTGAGTTTCAACAAGCATTGGCACCTTGGGTCAAACTTCAAAGGCAGTCTAGGCCATGAGGACTGCAACTCCTAGTCAAGCCCTAGTGCTATACTGGGCTTGGAGCCAGTGGACTTGGAGGGCACATGACCCAGTAAGATACAAATCCAGATGGCTAAGAAAGTGTTTGTGTCACCCCTCCCCCAACTCTGAGCAGCACACCTCCCAGCTCTTAAGGAGACCCCTTCCTTCCACTTGAGGAGAGGAGAGGGAAGAGTAGAAAGGACTTTATCTTGCAATGTGTATGTCAGCACAACCACAGTAGGATAGGGCACTGGGCAGCGTCATGAGGCCCCCATTTCAAGCTATAGCTCCAAGATGACATTTCTAGACCCACCCTGGGCCAGAAGGAAACCCACTTCCTTGAAGAGAAGGACCCAGTCCTGGCAGGATTCATCAGCAGCTCACTAAAGAGTCTTGGGCCCTGAGTAATCAGCAGTGATACTTAGCTAGTATGTCATGGGCGTTGGATGAGACTCTCAAATATGCTGGCTTCGGGTGTGACCCACAATATTCATAGCTGTAGTGTCTATAAGGAGAGACCCCTTCTGCTTGAGAAAAGCAGAGAGAAGATTAATGAGTACTTTCTCTTCAGCTCAATTACAGGCCTCCACTCTTACATGGAATCTCTGGATCTACCCTGGGCCAGAGGGGAGAACACTGCCCTGAAGGGTGAGTTCCAGGCCTGGAATCATTCACCAGAATTGAATGAAGTGGCAATGGGTGTTAAGTGAACTGAACACACATTGAAAAGCCATTGAGTATTAAGTGAACATCAGCAGTACCTTGGCTGTACTCCCTGTAGGCCTGTGGTGGTGGTGGACCTGAGAAGAGACTCCTCTGCCTGGAGAAAGGGAAGGAAATAGTAGAAAGCACTTTGTCTGGTGGCTTCAGTTTCAGCTCATCTGCAATAGAATACAGTACCAGGTAAATTTTTTTATTATCATTGTTATACTTTAAATTCTAGGGTACATGTGCACAAGGTGCAGGTTTGTTACATATGTATACATGTGCCATGTTGGTGTGCTGCACCCATTAACTCGTCATTTACATTAGGTATATCTCCTGATGCTATCCCTCCCTGCTCCCCCCCACTCAACAATAGGCCCCGGTGTGTGATGTTCCCCTTCCTGTGTCCATGTGTTCTCATTGTTCAATTCCCACCTATGAGTGAGAACATGCAGTGTTTGGTTTTTTGGCCTTGCGATAGTGTGCTGAGAATAATGGTTTCCAGCTTCATCCATGTCCCTACAAAGGACATGAACTCATCCTTTTTTATGGCTGCATAGTATTCCATGGTGTGTATGTGCCACATTTTCTTAATCCAGTCTATCATTTATGGGCATTTGGGTTGGTTCCAAGTCTTTGCTATTGTGAATAGTGCCACAATAAACATACGTGTGCATGTGTCTTTATAGCAGCATGATTTATAATCTTTTGGGTATATACCCAGTAATGGGATGGCTGGGTCAAATGGTATTTCTAGTTCTAGATCCTTGAGGAATTGCCACACTGTCTTCCACAATGGTTGAACTAGTTTACAGTCCCACCAACAGTATAAAAGTGTTCCTATTTCTCCACATCCTCTCCAGCACCTGTTGTTCCTGACTTTTTAGTGATTGCCATTCTAACTGGTGTGAGATGGTATCTCATTGTGGTTTTGATTTGCATTTCTCTGATGGCCAGCAATGATGAACATTTTTTCATGTGCCTTTTGGCTGTATAAATGTCTTCTTTTGAGAAGTAAGTGTCCATTCATATCCTTCACGCTACCTAACTTCAAACTATACTATAAGGCTACAGTAACCAAAACAACATGGTACTGGTACCAAAACAGAGATATAGACCAATGAAACAGAACAGAGCCCTCAGAAATAATACCACACATTTACAACTATCTGATCTTTGACAAACCTGACAAAAACAAGAAATGGGGAAAGGATTCCCTATTTAATAAATGGTGCTGGGAAAACTGGCTAGCCATATGTAGAAAGCTGAAACTGGACCCCTTCCTTACACCTTATACAAAAATTAATTAAAGATGGATTAAAGACTTAAAAGTTAGACCAAAAACCATAAAAAATCCTAGAAAAGAACCTAGGCAATACCATTCAGGACATAGGCATGGACAGTGACTTCATGTCTAAAACACCAAAAGCAGTGGCAACAAAAGCCAAAATTGACAAATGGGATCTAATTAAACTAGAAAGCTTCTGCACAGCAAAAGAAACTACCATCAGAGTGAACAGGCAATCTTCAGAATGGGAAAAAATTTTTGCAATCTACTCATCTGAGAAAGGGCTAATATCCAGAATCTACAAAGAATTCAAACAAATTTACATGAAAAAAAAACAAACAACCCCAGCACCAGGTAGATTTCTAAGGTTTCTGACTTCAGGCCTGTTTCAATGACAGCATTTCTGGACCTGCCTGGAGGCTAGGGGAAGTCATTGCCCTTAAGGCAAAGACACAAGCCTATCCGGTTTTACCACCTGCTGACTGCAGAGCCCTACTGCTTTGACCAGGCAGAGGTGGTATCCAGGTAGTGGTTACAACAGACTTTGGGCAAGACTTAGTGCTATGCTTGCTTCAAGTCTGACTGAGTACAGTCCCAGCGGTGGCGGCCACAAGGGTGATTATGTCACCCCTCCCACAGTTCCAGGCGGCTCAGCACAGAAAGACTCTGTTTGAGAGAATGTAAGAGAAGAGAACAAAAGCCTATGCCTGGCAATCCAGATAATTCTTCTGGATCTTATCCAAGACTACTAAGGCAGTACCTCGACGAGTCTGCAAAAACCATAGTGTTACTTAGCTTGGGGTACCACACAATGCAGATATGGCTGCAGTGACCAAAAATTTAGATCACAAAACTCAAGTCCCTTTGAATAACTGAAAAATTTTCCCAAAAAGGACGAGTACACACAAGCCCAGATTGTAAAGACTGCCATAAATACCTAACTCTTCAATACCTAGACACCAAGGAACACGCGCAAGCATCAAGACCACAAAGGAAAATATTACCTTACCAAAAGAAATAAATAAGTTACCAGAGAACAATCATGGAGAGACAGAGATACGTTATCTATTAGACAGAGAATTCAAAATAGCTGTTTTGAGGAAACTCAAAGAAATTCAAGGTAACACAGAGAAGGAATTCAGAATCCTATTATACAAATTTAACAGGTTGAACTAATTAAAAATAAATAAAGAATCAAACATACATTCTGGAGTTGAAAAATGCAATTCACATTCTGAAGAGCATCAGAGTATTTTAACAGCAGAACTGATCAAGCAGAAGAAGATATTGGTGAGATTTGAGACATGTTATTGGAAAATAGAAAATCAGAAGAGTCAAAAGAAAAAAGAAGAAAAAGCAATGATTCATGCCTACAAAATCTAGAAAATTGCCTGAAAATGGCAAATCTAAGAATTATTGGCCTTAAAGTGGAGATAAGAATGAAAAATTTATTCAAAGATGTCAGTATTCGAGTACAAACACCAAGAAGATTTATCCCAAAGAAGACTACCTCAAGGCATTTATAATCATCAAACTGTGAAATGTCAATGATAAAGATAGAATCCTAAACGCAGCAAGAGAAAAGCCACAAATAACATACAATGGAGATTCAATATGTCTGGTAGCAGACTTTTCAGTGGAAACTTTACAGGCCAGGAGAGAGTGGCATGACATATTTAAAATTCTGAGGGAAAAATCTACTAACCTATAATAGTATATTGAGTAAAAATGTTCTTAAAGCATGAATAAGAAATAAAGATTTTTCTCAAAAAAAATGGAGGGATTTTATCAACATGAGACTTGTCAAAAAAATTCTAAAGGGAGTTTTTCCATCTAAAAGTAAAGGAAGTTAATGGGCAATAAGAAATCATTTGGAAGGTACAAAACTTACTGGTAATATTTAGTACACAGGAAAACACAGAATAACACTGTAATTGTGAAGTGTAAACTAGTCTTATCTTAAGTAGAAAGTTGAAAAGATAAACCCATACAAATTATAACTACAACAACTTTTCAGTACATAGATAGTACAATAAGATGTAAATATAAACAACAAAAAGTTAAAAAGCAGGGGACAATGTTAAAGTGTAGAATTTTTATTACTTTTCCTTTTGCTTCTAAGTTAGTTTTTGCAGTCAGCATAAAGTTGTCATTAGTTTAAAATAATGGGTTACAATATACTATTTGCAAGCCTCATGGTAACCTCAAATCTAAAACCACACAACAAACACACAAAAAATAAAAAGTAAGAACATAAGACACACCACCAGAGAAAATCACCTTCGCTAAAAGGAAGACAGGAAGGAAGGAAAGAAGGAATAGAGAACCACAAAACAACAAGAGAACAAATAACAAAATGCCTGGAGTAAGTCCTTACCTATCAATAATAACATTAAATGTAAATGGACTAAATGTTTCAATTAAAAGATATAGGGTGGCTGAATGCATAAAATAAAATACCCAATAATCCGTTGCTTACAAAAAAACACACTTCACCTATAAAGGCATATGTAGACTGAAAATAAAGGGATAGAAAAGATACTGCATGCTAATGAAAACCAAAAAAGATACAGGAGTAGCTGTACTTACACAAAATAGACTTCAATACAAAAACTATAAGAAGAGACAAAGAAGGTCAGTATATAATGATAAAGGCATCAATTTAGAAAGAGGATATAACAATTGTAAATATATATATGTACTAAACACTGGAACACAGAGATATATAAAGCAAATATTATTAGAGCTAAAGAGAATGTGACGGTTAATGTTGAATGTCAACTTGATTGGATTGAAAGATGAAAAGTATTGTTCCTGGGTGTGTCCCTGTGAGGGTGTTGCCAAAGGAAATTAACATTTGAGTCAGTGGGCTGGGAGAGGCAGACCCACCCTCAATCTGGGTGGGCACCATCTAATCAGCTGCCAGCATAAAAGCAGGCATGGAAAGTACAGACTTACTGAGTCTTCTGGACTCCATCTTTCTCCCATGCTGGATGCTTCCTGCCCTCAAACATCAGACTCCAAGTTCTTCAGCTTTTGGACTCTTGGACTTACACCAGTGATTTGCCAGGAGCTCTTGAGCCTTTGGCCACAGACTGAGGGCTGCACTATCAGCTTCCCTACTTTTGAGGTTTTGGGACTCGGATTATCTTCCAGGCTCCTCAGCCTGCAGACAGCCTATTATGGGACTTTACCTTGTGATCGTGTGAGTCAATTATCCCAATAAACTCCCCTTCATATATTCATCTATCGTATTAGTTTTGTCCGTTTAGAGAACCCTGGTAAATACAGAGAGAGGTAGACCTGAATACAGTAACAGCTGGAGACATCAACATCCTATTTTCAGCATTGGACAGATCATCCAAACAGAAAATAAATGAAGAAACATGAACTTAATTTGCACCATACAAAATAGACCTATTAGCTATTTTCAGAATATTTCATCTAATGGTGGCAGAATATACATTCTTCTCCTCAGTACGTGGATCTTTCTCAAACACAGACCATATGATAGGTCACAAAACAAGTCTTAAAACATTCAAAACCTTTAAATGGTATCAAGCACCTTATCTTACTGTAATGGAATAAAACTAGACATTAATAATAAGAGGAATTTTGGAACCTATACAAATACATAGAAATTAAACAATATGCTCCTGAATGGCCAGTGGGTCAATGAATAAATTAATAAAGATATTAATAAATCTCTTGAAACAAATAATAATGAAAACACAACATACTAAAACCTATGGGGTACAGAAAAGCAATACTAAGATGGGAGTTTGTATCTATAAGTTCTTACATCAAAAAAGAAGAAAAACATAAAATAAACAGCCTAATGATGCATCTCAAAGAACTAGAAAAGCAAGAGCAAACCAAACCCAAAGTTAGTAGAAGAAATAATAAAAATCAGAGCAGAAAGAAAAGAAATGGAAATTAATAAAATAACACAAAAAATCAACGACACAAAATGCTGATTTTTTGAAAAGACAAACAAATTTGATGAAACTTTACTCAGACTAAGAAAAAAAGAGAGAAGATCCAAAGAAATAAAATCAGAGGTAAAAAAAATATATATTGCAACTGACACCACAGAAATTGAAAGGAGTGGCTATTATGCTCCACTATATAGCAATAAATTAGAAAACCTAGAGATAGATATATTCCTAGACACATACAACCTACCAAGATTAAACCATAAAGAAATCTAAAACATAAACAGACCAATAATAAATGACAAGATCAAATTTGTAATAAAAATTCTCCCAGCCAAAAAAAAAAAAAGCCTGGAATTCTATGGCTTCATTGCTGAATTAAACAAAAAATTTAAAAAAACCGATACCAGTCATAGTAAAACTGTTCCAAAAAATAGAAGAGGAGGGTGTACATCCAAACTTTTTCTATGAGCCCACTATTACCCTGATACCCAAATCAGACAAAGACACATCAAACAAAGAAAACTGCAGGTCAGTATCCCTGATGAACATTGATACAAAAATCCTGAAGAAAATAGTAGCAAACCAATTTAACAAAACATGAAACTGGAAACCCTCATTCTCGGCAAAGTAACACAAAAGAGAAAACCAAACACCACATGTTCTCACTCATAAGTGGGAGTTGAACAATGAGAACACATGGACACAGGGAGGGGAACATCACACACCAGGGCCTGTTGCGGGGTGGAGGCCTGGGGGAGGGATAGTATTAGGAGAAATACCTAATGTAAATGATGAGTTGATGGGTGCAGCAAACCAACATGGCACATGTATACCTATGTAACAAACATGCACATTGTGCACATGTACCCCAGAACTTAAAGTATAATAATATAAAATAAAATAAAATAAAAAGATTATCTATCATGGCCAAGTGGGATTTTTCCCAAGGATGCAAGTATAGTTCAACATATGCAAATCAATGAATATGATACAACATGCCAACAGAATGAAGGACAAAAACCATATGATCATTTTAGTTGACACTAGAAACACATTTGATAGAATTCAATATCTCTTCATTATAAGAACCTTCAAAAAACTAGGAAGAGAAGGAACTTACCTAAACATAATAAAAGCCATATATGACACACCCACAGCTAGTATCATACTGAATGGAAAAAAAAACCGCAAGTTTTTCCTATAAGATCTGAAACATGACAAGAATACACATTTTCAACACTGTTATTCAGCATAGTTCTGAAAGTCCTAGATAGAGAAATTTCACAAGAGAAAAAATACAGGGCATCCAAATTGGAAAGAGAGACATTCTTATTTGTCAGTGATATGACCTTATATTTGGAAAAATCTAATTACCATGAAAAATCTTTTACCCTGATACCCCACTCAGACAAAGACACATCAAAGAAAGAAAACTACAGGCCAATATCCCTAATGAACATTGATGCAAAAATCTTCAAGGAAATACTAGCAAAACGAATTCAACAACACATTGAAAAGATCATCTATCATGACCAAGTGGCATTTTGACTTCATCAAAGACTATTATTAATAGTACATTTGCAGGATATAAAATCAACATACAAAAATCAGTAGCATTTCTACATGCCAACAATGAACAATCTGAAAAATAAATCAAGAAAGTAATCCCTTATACAATAGCTACAAATTAAATAAAATGCATAGGGCTTACCATAATGAAAGTGAAAGATATCTACCATGAAAACTGATCAAAATTAATCAAGGCAGTGAAAGACCTCTACAAGGAGAACTGCAAAACACTGCTGAAAGAAATCATAGATGACACAAACAAATGAAAAAACGTGATCCATAATCATGGATTGGAAGAGTCAGTATCATTAAAATGGCTATGCTTTGATTCAACACTATTCTTATCAAGATACCAACATCATTTTTTTACAGAACTAGAAAAAGACTATTCTAAAATTTATATGAAACCAAAAAATAGTCCAAATTGCCAAAACACTTCTAAGCAAAAAGAACGAAGCCGGAAGGATCACATTATTTGACTTCAAACTATACTACAAGGCTACAGTAACCAAAGCAGCATAGTAGTGGTACAAAAACAGACACATAGACCAATGGAACAGAAGAGAGAATGCAGAAACTAAGACATGCCATCTACAGCCATCTGATCTTCAACAAAGTTAATGAAAATCTGCAATGAGGAAAGGACGTCCTATTCAAAACATGGTGCTGGAATAGCTGGCTAGCCATATGCAGAAACGTAATTTCTTCATGTACAAAAATTAACTCATTTCTTCATGTACAAAATTTCTTCATGTACAAAAATTAACTGAAGATAAACACTTAAATGTAAGAGCTCAAGCTATAAGAATCCTAGAAGAAAATCTAGAAAACACCATTCTGAATATTGGCCTTGGGAAATAATTTATGACTAAATCCTCAAAAGCAATTGCAACAAAAATATTGACAAGTGTGACCTAATTAAACTAATAAGATTGTGCACAAGCAAAGACATTATCAATAGAGTAAATTGACAACATACAGAATGGGAGAAAATATTCACAAACTATGCATCTGACAAAGGTCTGATATCCAGAATGTATCAGGAATGTAAGCAATTGAACAAGCAAAAAGAAATCCCATTAAAAATGGGCAAATTCCACGAACAAACACTTCTCAAAAGGCATAAAACTAGCCAAAAAATATAAAAAATGCTCATCACTACTCATCAGAGAAAGGCAGACCAAAACCAAAATGAGATATTATTCCACACCTGTTACAATGGCTATTTTTCTTTTCTTTTTTTTTTTTTTTTTTGAGACGGAGTCTCCCTCTGTCACCCAGGCTGGAGTGCAGGAGTGCATCTCTGCTCACTGCAAGCTCTGCCTCCCAGGTTCACGCCGTTCTCCTGCCTCAGGCTCCTGTGTAGCTGGGACTACAGGTGCCCGCCACTACGCCCGGCTAGTTTTTTGTATTTTTTTAGTAGAGACAGGGTTTCACCGTGTTAGCCAGGATGGTCTCAATCTCCTGACCTCGTGATCCACCCGCCTCGGCCTCCCAAAGTGCTGGGATTACAGGCATGAGCCTCCGAGCCCGGCCCACAAGGGCTATTATTAAAAAGTCAAAAAACAACAAATGTTGGTGAGGCTGCAGAGAAAAGTGAATGCTTCTACATTGTTGGTGGGAATGTAAAGTAGTTCAGTCACTGTGAAAAAACCGTTTTGTGATTTCTCAAAGAACTTAATACAGAACTGCCATTTGACCCAGGAATCCCTTACTGGGTATATATCCAAAAGAAAATAAATCATTCTATCAAAAAGACACATGTATTTGTGTATTTATCACAGCACTGTTCACTGTACCAAAGACATGGAATCAACCTAGAGGTCCATCAATGATGGATTGTATAAATAAAATGGGGTACACAGACACCATGAGATACTATGCAACTATAAAAAAGAATGAATTCATGTATTTCGTAGCAACATCAGTGCAGCTGGAGGCCATTATTCTAAGCTAATTGATGTAGGACCAAGAAATCAAATACCACATGTTCTGATTTATAAGCGGGAGGTAAACACTGGGTACTCATGGACATAAAGATAGCAATATTAGAGAGGGGAGAGACGGAGGGGTCAGGGCTTGAAAAATGAACTACTGGGTACTATGCTCACTACCTGGGTGATGGGATTAATTGTACTTCAAACATCATCATTATGCAATATACATGCAACAAACCTGCACATGTACCCCCTTGAATCTGAAATAAAATTTGAAAATATATATTAAAAAAAGAAATGCTAAGGGGAGTTTTTCAAGTTGAAATAAGAGGATGCAAACTAATACCATAAATATTTATAAAATTATAAAGCTCACTATAAAAGTAAGAATATAGTTAAATTCAGAGCACATTAATACTGTAACGGTGTATATTATAACTTTAATTGTCATATAAAAGTATACATCATTTTTAATTGTCACAAAAATTAGAAGAAAGTATTAAAATAATGATAGGTACAATAATATGTTAATGAATACATTATATATAAAAGATGTGAATTGCAGCATTAACAATGCAAAAGGTAGAGGAAGGAAAAGTTAAAATGTAGAGTTTTTTGTATGCAGTCTAAAGGAAGTTGTTATCAGCTTAATATAGGCTGATTTAACCATAAATTTTTTGTAAGCCTTATGGTAACCACAAAGAGAAAACCTGTAGTAGACGCACCAAAAATAGAGAACAGAATCAAATCATAGCATACCACTGCAGAAAAATCATCAATCACAAACGAAGAGCACATGTGAAGAAGAATGAAACAAAGGAACAACAAAAACATTGAGAAAACTATTAAGAAAATGACAATAGTTAAGTTCTTACCTATAAATAATTACTTTAAATGTAAATGTATTAAAGTCTCCAATAAAATGTCATGGAGGGATTGAATCCATCAAAAAAAAAAAAAAGATCCAATTATATTCTGCCTACGGGATAAAGAAAACATGGTATATATACACAAGATAATATTATTGAGCCTTAAAAAAAAGGGACTAGTGAATGACATTTGTTAAATCATGGGATAAATTTGTAGGATGTTAAGTAAACCAGTCACAGAATAACAAATACTGCATAATTTCACTTATATGTTAATTCTTAAAACGTCAAACTCATAACAGCAGAGAGTGCAATAGTGGTGACTCAAAGTCCTCTTTGGCGATGGGATGGGAGAATGGGTAGATGTTTGTCAAAGGGTAAAAGATTTCTGTTAGAATGAATAAGTTTCAGAGGCCTATTGTGGAGCATGTTGACTATTTGATAATAATGTATAGGGATACAATTTAAATGGTGTCACTGCTCAAATGTCATGTCAAATTGTAATCCCCAGTGTTGGTCATAGTGTCTTGTGGCAGGTGATTGCATCATGGTGGTGGATCTTTCATGAATAGTTTAGCACCATCCTATAGGTGCTGTTCTCATGACATGAGACCCTGTTATTTAAAAGTGTTTAACACCTCCTCCCCAGCTTGGTCCTGCTCCTGCCATGTAAAATGCCTGTTCCCTCTTTGCCTTCCACCATGAATAAAGTTCCCTGAGGCCTCCCCAGATGCTGGCCATGCTTCCTGTATAGCCCGCAGAACTGTGAGCCAATTAAATGGCTCACAGAGCCATTTAAAATTCTTAACATTTAAAAGAGCCAATTAAAACTCTTTTCTTTATAAATTACTCAGTCTCAGTTATTTCTTTGCAGCAATGTGAGAATGGCCTAATACATATACCATACTAGCAAGTTGCTAGGAGAGTAGATCTTCAATATTCTCATCACAAAATAAATAAGTATGTGACGTGATGGATATGTTAGTTGATTTAATCATTTCATAATGTGTATATATATATATCAAAATGTAATATTGTACTCTGTAAACATATAAAATTTCTATTGGTCAAAAATACCTTAACACAGCTGTAAAAAATATATAAATCCACTGAAACAAATAAAAAATAAGCAAAGCAATAATTAATTCCAGGCAAAATAAAATAAAGTCCACAAAAGAAAAAGTATCCAGACTATGTTATAAGTTGCCAGTAATATTCATAAAGTAAGGAGGCAAAATCTTGATGATCTAAATAAAACCATAATAAAATTATATTCATAGGTGACTGTGAAATGTGCACATGTATATTGCAAAATGGGGATGAAAAATACAGCTAAATATTTATATTCCACAGTGACAATTCAATGGCTAATGTCCAAAATTATAAAATCAATAAATATCAATTGATATAGTTTGAATATTTGTCCCTACCCAAATCTCATGTTGAAATGTAATCCCCTGTCTTAGAGGTGGGGTCTGGTTGGCGATATTTGGATCGTGGGGTGGATCCATCATGAATGGCTTGGGCCATTTCCATGGTAATATGTGAGCTCTCACTCTGCATGCTAATGAGATCAGGTTGTTGAAAAGTATGTTACACCCTCACCTCAGAATCTCTCACTCTCTTGCTCTTGTCCTGGTCACCTGATATGCCTGCTCTGTCTTTGCCTTCCACCATGATTAGAAGCTTTCTGAGGCCTCGCCAGAAGCAGATATTGCTATGCGTCCTATACAGCCTGCAGAACCATAAGCCTGTTAAATCTCTTTTTATAGATTAGTCAGTCTTAGGTATTTCTTCATACCATTGCAGGAATAGTTTAATATAGCAATATTCAATCTTATTTAAAGAAATGGAGGTTAACATTTAAAATATTTTCTAAAATAGTTGAAAATGTCTCTGGGAAGGTATAAGTGGGGAATGAGGGGGTGAGCTATTTTTTTTCTCACCAAATATTATAAAGCTATTTGATTTATTAAGCTATGTGCATATTTAATTTCTATAAGCTTAAAAAAGTAAAAGTAATAACACTGTAGCTGAAGAATATTTCTTACTCTAAAGTACTCTGTTGTCAGAAAATTTGTCCCTATGTTTAAGGGTAGCAGCACAATCTTCTCTTGGTTCTGCTATGCTTCTTACAGTGTCTTTAGTAATTAGGATTCATTGTTAGCAAGCTTATATTTCACATTTTAATGTTAACTCTTGCAACGCCAACAAAGCAGTGAGGTTTAGTGGAAAACAGTCAGAACTGGGAGAATGTGCTATAGTCCCTGCTGTGCTGACAAAGTCATAGTTGTGACTCACTTAAATTTCTGGGATTGAAATTCTTCATTTGCAATTCTTTTTTAGTTTTAAAATTGAGGCAGTAAGTAAGTTAGGTAAATTTGAAGTCCACTCTATTTGTATGATTTTCTGGTATTATCATTAATAAGAGAATCAAATGTCACTTGGGTTTCGTAGGTCAATAAGCAATTACTATAAAGCAAATACAGAGTGTGGTCTTCTGGAATGAGTGTTGAATGAGACTTTCATCCTGGAAACCTACTTTTATTATAAGAAAATAACTGGTTCCGGGCAGTAAGCTGTATACCTTCACATTCACTGTTTTTTTCTCATTAATTTTTTTGCGTTTCCTTCACACAACCGTGATCCCAAGAGCATACATTCAGGATATTGAATAAACAGCTAGGCCATTCATTCTAGTCACTTTCATTCATGATTATGCCTATTGAAATTGAGTGGTATTTAGGTGATATTTAGCCAGCAAACTAGCGATACTAAATCTTAGCCTTGACATTGTTTCTTCTTGTGAGGTCTCTGAGAAAGATAAATACATAAAAACGCAAAGAATGAAAAACGAACACGATTGAATGTTAGGGTTTCGAGTCTAAAAGTAAATATTGAACTCTAGTAAGTTAGTATGAACTGCACTAGAAACTCATATTTTCTAAGTTATGTAGGTATAAATATAGATGAATTAAAGTAAAACCTAACCTTAGCTTCAGAACTCACACTTGTGATGTAATGAAATATTAAATAAGTCCTATCTTCTACTATAAGAGAGAAAGGATCAAGGGAGCTGCCATAGTTTGGATGTCTGTTTCTCCAAATCTCATGTTGAAATTTGGTCCCCAGTGTTGGAGGTAGGGTCAAATGGTAGGTGTTTGGGTCGTGGAGTGGATCCGTCATGAGTGGCTAGGTGCTGTCCTCCTGGTAATGAGTGAGTTCATGCTCTATTAGTTCCTGTGAGAGCTAGTTGTTTAAAAGAGCCTAGCACTTCCCCACTTTATCTGTCTTTTTGTCTCTCTGTCTCTCTCTCTCTGCTTCCTGTCTCACCATGAAATTTCTGCACAGCTCAGCTCCCTTTCACTTTTCATCATGAGTAGAAGTAGTCTGAGGCCTTCATCAGAAACAGATGTTGGTGTCATGGTTCTCGTACACCCTGCAGAAATGTGAGCCAAATAAACTTATTTTTTAAATAAATTACGCAGCCTCAGGTTTTCCTTTATGGCAACACAAATGGACTATGGTAAGAACCAAAGAGAAAAATAATAGTTTTCATTTCAATATTCAATGCCAAATTTTGGCAAGGAAGAATGGGTGGTGGTGTATTACTTAGACAAAAGAAAGATGTTCATGGATATTAAAGAAATGTTGTTTACCATTATTACATCTTGTAGAAGGTCTGATTTGGTCAAGCCCACACACATTAGAAACTTCAGTTCCATTGAGAACTTCACTCACTAGCCCTGTGTCTCAAGATTTCCTAGGACATGCCTTGTTGCAAGTTTCTGTAGTTTTTTTTTTTCAATTAGGTAATCATTTTTTCTACCTTGGAAATGGAATAAATGTAGTAATAAATAGATGAAGAAGTGTTCTTTTCCTATCCTTTCCAGTGGTGTCAGTTTCAACTTATGTTTATCTTTCAACTATATCCAGAAAAAGACCCAGTTATCAAAAGCCATGCATGAGCTACCTGAACATTTCCTATGATCTGGTCACTTTTTCTGTCACGAATCTTAGGTTTTCTATTTTGCTGTGATCAACCTCTTTATCCATTTTTTTTCATGTTCAGGGTCTCATATTGACAGCCAATGCTGTAACATTTTAAATTAAATCTTGCAAATGAAGGTGAAAGAAAATGATAAGATACTGACCCTACTATAGTCTTCCTCAAAAAACGAAAACAAATCTATGACACATAAAAGAGCAAAATAAAAGGTTTTTATGGAATAAATTGATATATTTATTTTAAATTTTGTCGTATTATTCTGGACTATTTGTTTTGACACTCTCAATACTAATTTCTCTCCATAGATTCATAGCACTAGAACTACAGAAATAAATAACGTTTTAATAAATGTGAATTAAAATGTTACCTCCTAATACATACAGAGTATGTGCAACTCAAATCTGTTGGGAAAATAATTAACCATATATGTCAGGAATAGAGAATAACAAAATGCCGATCTTAAAAACAGTGAAAACATACTGAGTGTTAAGCTTAAAATTAATATTCTTTTCACATTTTTCAGGCATTCCAATGAACTTCTCTAGGTGTTAGGAACCTGTCAGCTTGGGCAGAATCTCTCCCCACAAAAATTAACACTGTCAGGCAAAATTATAAATCGGTGAATCTTGAACCTAGCTGCTAATCAGAATCACCTTAAGGACATTTTAAAAACACAAATTTCTGAAGCTGCCCTAAGAACAGATAATTAGAATCTGTATTAAAAAAAAATAAGGAAACCATAAAACAAAACCAATCTGCACATTATCCTTAAAAAGTCACCTGTTAATAGAACCATGCTGGGACCCTATTAACACAGAACAATATTGATATTCTAATCTATTTCTGAAATTATTAGAAAAATTACATGTTTTAGCATAGATAAGGGATACTTTATAGCTTACATTTAAACATATGTGTTTATCTGAAGTCATCAAATATTTCTTGAGAAGCATTTATTCAAGATACAGTATTAGGCAATTTATGGAATAAAAACATGCCCTGTCTTCAAAGAGTTTATAAATACTAGAGAAAAATGTGTATTAGTGAATATTAGAAAATAGTAATGATCAATTTGACAAAATTCAGTGGGCCAAATGATTCAGAAATATTTTTACTTTTTCACATAGGTAATAATCATCTTGTCCATTTTATATCCAAGGTTCAGCTGAAGTCCTACTTTCTTGAAAAAAAATTCCTGGATTACTCTTATTCTGGAAATATTATGTAACATATTTATTTAATCTTTACATGTTAGTCAATGATGTAATCATTTTTAGTACACTTTATTCTTATATCACTTACATATTTACAGGAAACCTGAAAAGACAGTACAGAGGATTCCCATACACTCTGAACTCAATTTCACCTACTAACACCTTACATTATTATGACACATGTATTACAATTAATGAACCAATATTGATGAATTGATATTAACAAAATTCCATAATTCACTTAGATTTCCTTAGCTTTTACCTAATGTATTTTTTTTTCTCTTTAGGGATTTCATACAGAATAACACATTACATTTAGTTGTCATTTCTCTTTAGGGTCCTCTTGGCTATGGCAGTTTTTAAGACTTTACTTGTTTTTGATTAACTTAGCAGTTTTAAGGAGTTTTAGGCCTGGCGCGGTGGCTCATGCCTGTAATCCCAGCACTTTGGGACGCCAAGGCGGGCGGATCACGAGGCCAGGAGATCGAGACCATCCTGGCCAACATGGTGAAACCCCGTCTCTACTAAAAATACAAAAAAAATTAGCTGGACGTGGTGGCACATGCCTGTAATCCCAGCTACTCAGGAGGCTGAGGAAGGAAAATTGTTTGAACCAGGGAGTTGGAGGTTGCAGTGAGCCAAAATCGCGCCACTGCACTCCAGCCTAGAGACAGAGCGAAACTCCGTCTCAAAAAAAAAAAAAAAAAAAAGAAGTTTTAAGGAGTATTAGTCAAGCATTTTGTGAAATGTTTATTATTCCAATTTGTTTGATGTTTTTCTAATTTTAAATCATGGGTTATGAGTTATTGGGAGGAAGACCACAGAGGTAGAGTACCATTTTCATCAATATCAAGAATCCATATCATCAAAATGATTTATGACTGTCGATGTTGACTTTGACTGACTGCCTGAGGTAAACTTTGTTACGTTGCTCCACCACTGTAAATGTACTATTTTCCCTCCTTTCTATATTATACACTTTGGAAGGAAGTCACTATGTGCATACCACAAACAAGAGTATTTGCATCCCGTCCTTGAGGGCAGGGTGTCTACATAAATTATTAGGAATTCTCTGCATGGGAAACTCATAATTCATTTCCATTAATTAATATATTTAATCATATATTTATATCAGTATAAATTTATAGAGATTTATTGTATACTGTGGATTAAAATCTAGTGCTACTTTATTTATTTTTTGTTTAAAATTATCTACATTTTGACACTGGAGCCTATTTCAGCTGACTCCTGTGCTTCTTTGATATACCCCCATCCTGGTACGTGTGTATGTGCATGTATTTATGTACGTTTGTATATATGTTGTGAGCATTTTCTTGCTTCTCGGCACTACAAGATGCTACACACTTATCTTGTATATTTCCTATCCTAGTCCTATAACCAGCCACTTCTCCAATGAGCCCTGGTGCCTTTGTTGGAGAATGGTATTAGAAATCATTATTCAGCCACTAAGTGTGCTCATTGCTACTCATGTATCACTTCTTTTAGGCTCACTCAGCTGACAGAGAAAAAAATACTTGTGTATGATAACTTTTGTATATACACATATCTATCAATAGTTGTATATGTAACCATCTGTATCTATATTAAGCTAAACGTGAGGTCATGCTGACGTTTACAGTTCTCATCCAATACCATATGGATAGGTTTTTATTTCTTTCTTTATCTATAAACTTACTCCAACTATAAGAAGACTGATTCCTTCCATCAGTCATGTATTTAATTAAATGTTTAATTCCATTATACATGTATAGCAGAGCCATTAGCTCATACACCCATGGGAAACTATTTTATCAACTAGATTACAGTGCTCATGTGCAGTTCTCATAGTCTTATGCTTACAGATCCTACTCATTTGCAAAGTTGCTTGAGTCAGCACCTTTTCTCCCTCTCCCATTAAGTGAGTTTGCTTTATGTGTTTGTAATACATTTAGAATATCCTGTCACACTCTGCATTTTTAAGTGACCCTTTGACCACCTAAATTATGTTTTTAAATTTGCACATGGACCAGTTTTCGTGCAGTAAAGTTCTACAGGTTTTGACAAATGCATAATGGCTTGCATTCACTGCTATAGCATCACACAGAAAAACTTTACTGTAACCCAAATCCCTTGATCTTTATTTGTTTCTACCTCTTTATTACCCCTAAAGCCCTGATAACCATGGGTTACTTTGTCTTTATAATTTTACCTTTTCCAGAATGTTATACAATTGGAACCTTAGGATTCTTTATCAAGAAGCATTTAATATTTTTTGTCTTTTCATGGTTTGATAGCTCATCTGTTTGCTTCCAGCTCTTGGCAATTATAAATAAAGCTGCAATAAACATTATGCTTGGATTTTTATGTGATTATAGGTTATGAAATAAATTTGATAATAACTAGGAGCATGACTATTGGGTCATGTGGTGACTGTGATCATACAGTTTTGTAAGAGACTGCTTGTCTTCCAAAGTACCTCAACCATTTTGTATTCCATTAGCAATCAATGAGTTTAAATTGTTAAGCAACCTCTCCAGCATTTATTATCGTAAGTTTTTAGACATTTCAATAGGTACGTAGTAGTATTTCATTATTCTTTTAATTTGCAATACCTCAAAAACAAGTTTGCTAAAATAAATAATAAAATACTATTGCATTTTATATTTCTGTTCATGAACCATCTTGAGTCAAGTTTCGTGAATGTTGCAAATGCTGTGTCTAGATAGACTTTTTAAGACTTCATATTTTACAGTTCCTAGTAAAATTAAGAAAAAGGTACAGAGGTTTTCTATATATCCCCTATTTCCACACAAATCTAGCCTCTGCCATTATAAACATCTCCAACCAAAGTGGTACATTTGTTACACTCAGTGAATCTACATCGACATATCATTATCACCCAAAGTCCACAGTTTATATTAGAGCTCACTCTTGGTGTGTACATTCTGTGGGTTTGGAGAAATGTATATTGATGTATATCCACCATTATGGTATTATACATTGTATTTTCACTGCCCTAAAAATTCTCTGTGCTCCACCTATTTATTCCTCCCTCCCCCAAACCTTGGCAATGACTGAACTGTCTCTACAGATATGCCTTTTCCAGAAAGCCATATAGTTGGAATCATACAGTATCTAGCATTTTCTGACTGGCCTCTTTCATTTAGTAATATCCGTTTAAGGTCCCTCCATGTAATTTTATGGTTTGACATCTCATTTATTTTTGTGTGTGTGTGCTGAACAATAATCCCTTGTCTGAATGGTTCACAGTTTATTTATATGTTCCCACACTAAAGGACATCTTCGTTGCTTCCAAGTTTTTGGAAATTACAAATAAAGCTGTTATAAACATCCGTGTGCAGTTTTGTGTGGAAATACTTTTCAATTCCTTTGTGTAAATACCAAGAAGTGTGATTGCCGGATCCTATAGTAAGCTTTTTTAAAAAGCACCAAACTGTCTTCCAAAGTGGCTGCTCCATTTTTCATCTCTACAGCAATGAATATGATTTCCTGATGCTACACATTCTTGTCAGCATTTGGTGGTGTTAATTTTTGGTATTAGCCATCTTAATAGGTGTGTCGTATTTAGGTGTTTCAATTTGCATCTCCCTGATGACACATGATGTGGAACATGTACAAATATGCTTGATTGTCACTGGTATATTTCTTTTTTGAGGTAACTGTTAAGTTTGTGTCATGTTTTAGTTGTTTTCTTATTGTTGATTTTAAGAGTTCTTTATACATTTTGGATTACTGTCCTTTTTCATATGGGTCTTTTGCAAATATTTTCTCTCAGTATGTTGCTCATCTTCTCTTTCTATTGACATTGCCTTTAACAGAGAAGAAGTTTTTAATTTTAATGAAGCCCAGCTTACAGGTAATTTCTTTCACGGATCATGCCTTTGGTGCTGGATCTTAAAAGTCATTGCCATACCCAAATCATCTAGGTTTTCTTCAACATTATTTTCTAGGAGTTTTGTAGTTGTGTGTTTTGCATTTGAATCTATAATCCATTCTGAGTTTATTTTTGTGAAGAGTGTAATATCTGAATCTAAGTTCATTTCTTTAATGTAGAAGTCCAGTTGTTCCAGTACTATTTGTTTAAGGCTGTATTTACTCCATTGTATTATTTTGCTTCCTTTTCAAAGATAGTTGGCTAAACTCATGTGGGTCAATTTCTGGACCCTCTATTTTGTTACATTTATTTGTCTATTCTTTCACAAATACAATACTTTTTATATTACTATAGTTTTACAGTAAATTTTGAAGTCAGATAGTGTGAGTCTTTCTACTTTGTTTTTATCTTCAATATTCTGTTTGCTATTTTGGGTCTTTTTCCTCTCCATGTAAAACTTTAGAATCACTTTCTTGATACCCACAAAGTAACATGCTGCACTTTTGATAGAGATTGAATTGGATCTGTAGATACAATTTGGAAGAACTTAGTTCTTGTCTCTATTGACTCTTCCTATTCATTAATATGGACTATATTTTCATTTACTTTGTTCTTTAATTTATTTCATTAATGTTTTGTCATTGTCCTCATATAGATCTTGTATATTGATATGGTTTGGCTGCATTTCCACCCATATCTCATCTTAAATTGTAACTCCCATAGTCCCCATGTGTCAGGGAGGGACCCAGTGGGAGGCAATTGAATCATGAGGGCGGATTTTACCTGTGCTGTTCTCATAATAGTGAATAAGTCTCACATGATCTGATGGTTTCATAAAGGGCAGTTCCCCTGCACATGCTCTCTTGCCTGCCACCATGTAAGACGTGCCTTTGCTCCTCCTTCACCTTCTGCCATGATTGTGAGGCCTCCCCAGCCATGTAGAACTGTGATTCCATTGAACCTCTTTTTCTTTATAAATTACTCAGTCTCAGGTATTTCTTCATAGCAGTATGAAAATGAACTAATATCTACATGTTTTGTTAGATTTATAGCTAAGCATTTTTGGAGGCTGCTAATGTAAATGGTATTTTGGTTTCAGATTCAAATTTTACTTGTTCATTGCTGAGATAGGAAAGCAATAAATGTCCAGCAATCTTGCTATAATTGCTTATTAATTAAGCAGGCAGTCAAGGAAGTAAAAGGAGTAAATTTATTATATTTAAATGCTCAGCATATTGGATGAAGTCCATCCATATTAGGGAGGTCAATTTACTTTACTGAGTTCATAAATTTAAATGGTCCTCTCATTCTATAACATCCTCACAGACATACCCAGGAACAATATTTAATCTAAACACATCTTCACCCAATGAAGTTGACATACAAAATTAATTATTATGGCTGGGTGTGGTGGCTCATGCCTGTAATCCCAGCACTTTGAGAGGCTGAGGCAGGTGGATCACAAGGTCAGGAGTTCGAGACCAGGCTGGCCAATATGGTCAAATTCTGTCTCTACTAAAACTACAAAAATTAGCCAGGCGTCGTGGCAGGTGCCTGTAGTCCCAGCTACTCAGGAGGCTGAGGCAGGAGAATCACTTGAACTCAGGAGGCAGAGATTGCAGTGAGCCGAGATCATGCCACTGCACTCCAGCCTGGGTGACAGAGTGAGACTCTGTCTCAAAAAAAAAAAAAAATTAGCTATTACTCTGCTGATATGGTTTGGCTGTGTCCTCACCCAAATCTCAATTTGAATTGTAATTCCCATAATCTCCACATATCATGGGAGGGACCAGGTGGAGATAATTGAATCGTAAGGGCAGTTCCCCCATGCTGCTGTTCTCATGATAGTGAGTGATTTCTCATGAGATCTGGTGCTTTTATAAGGAGCTTTTCCCATTTTGCTGGGCACTTCTCCCAGCTGCCACCATATGAAGAAGGATATGTTTGCTTCCCCTTCCTCCATGATTGTAAGTTTTCTGAGGCCTCCCCAGCCATGCTGAACTGTGAGTCAATTAAACCTTTTTCCTTTATAAATTAACCAGTCTTGGGTATGTCTTTATTAGCAGTGTGAGAATGGACTAATACATCTGCCAAAATTCATACAAGAAGAAACAGACAAACTGAATGAACCTGTATTTATTTAAAAAATGGAATCAATAATAACCTCCCAAAACAAAGATCCAGTCTCAGATGAATTCACTGAAAAACCTAGCAAATATTTAAGAAAACTGGCTAGTTCTGGTGGTTCATACCTGTAGTTAATTCCAGGGCTTTAGGGTGATGAGGAGAGAGGATCATATGAAGCCAGGATTTAAGGCAAGCCTTGGCAACATAGTGAGATTCATATATCTATAAAAATATTAAAAGCAATTAGCCATGTATGGTAGCATACACTTGTAGTGCCAACTACTCAGGAGGCTGAAGTGAGAAGATCACTTGAGTGCAAAGTTCAAAGCTGCAATGACCTGTAATTATACCACTGCACTTCAGCCAGGGCAAAAGAGCAAGGCTCTGTCTCTAATTATTTCATTAATTGAAAAATAAAATAAAGAAAAAATTAGCCCAATTCTCTACAATTTCTTTCAGGAGATGAAAGCAAAGGCAGTATGTCTAACTCATTTTATGCAGCCAACATTGCCCTAATATCAAAACTAGACAAAAACATTACATGAAGAGAAAACTACAGGCCAATATCTTTTGTGAACATAGCTGCAAAAATCCTCAACAAAATATTAACAAATAAAATCCAAGAATGCATAAAAATTATACCTCATGATCAAGTAGGGTTTATACCAGGTAGGAAAAGCTGGCTCAACATTTGAAAATCAATTAATGTAATCCATCATATCAACAGGTTAAAAAAAATCACACGATTATATCTATAAATTCTGGAAAAGCATTTGATGAAATTCAAAATTCATTCATGATAAAACTCTGAGCAAACTAGGAATAAAAAAAAATTCCTTAAGTTGATTAAACACATCTAGAAAACATATAGCTAAAATCATACTTATGATCAAAAACTAGATGTTTTCTTGCTAATATCAGGAACACCAAAAGATGTCCTCCTCTACCACTGCTCTTTTTCCACCCTGTACTGAAAATACTAGCTAATGCAATAAGAAAGGGAAGTGAAAGGCAAACAGGTTGGGAAGATAGAAAGAAAAATCTTTGTTCAAAGGTGACATAATTTCCTGTGCAGAAAAAAACCACTCTTGTAACCACTCTTGTAATTCTGTAGCCTGAGAACCAGTGGGTACATACTGCCCTTGGATTGGAAGTTACACCATTGGCACTCACTGCTTCTCAGGCTACAGACTTAAGACTTGAAATTAGTCCATTTCATTTGTTATCAAATTTGTGGTAATAACATTGTTCACACTATTTATTATTGTTTTAATAGCCATATGACCGTATTGATATCCCCGCTTTTATTTTTTATTCTATCTTCTCTTGATTTTTTTTTTGTAAGCCTGGCTAGAAGCTTATCAATATTATCTAGGTTTTCAAAGAACCAGCCTTTGGTTTCATTGATTTTTCTCTCTCAATTTCCTTATTTTAAATTTTATTGATTTATTCCATATTTTTATTACTTTTTTCTTCTGCTTACTTTGAATTTAACGTGCCCTGTTCTACTTTCTTAAAGTAAAAGATTTCAGATGCTTCTTATTTTCTAATATATGCCTTCAATGTTATAAATTTATCTCTAATCACTGATTTTTTTCTGCTTTCCTCAAATTTTGATAACTTGTGTTTTTATTTCCATTTATTTCAAAATATTTTAATATCTCTTGAGATTTTTTTCTTTGACCCATATGTTACTTAGAAGTGTGATGTTTAACAAGTATTTTGAGATTTTTAAGCTTTCTTTCAATTATTGATTTCTAGTTTAATTACATTTTGGTCTGAGAGCATACTTTGTGTAATTTTATTATTATAAGTTGAGGTGCATTTTATGGTTCAGCATATGGTCGATCTTGGTGAATGTTTTATGTAAGCTTAAGAAGAATGTGTATTCTATTGTTATTGGATGAAGTAGTCTATAGATGTCAATTATATCCAGTTCATTGATGATCTTGAGTTCACTAATGTCTTTAATGATTTCCTGATGGCAGGATTAGTTCATTTATGATGGAGGGGTGTTGAAGTCCCCATAAAGGATTTATCTATTGTTTCTTACAGTTCTATCAGTTTCTGCCTTACATATATTGTTGTTGCCTCACATGAGTATTTTGCCTCCCATACTCTGTTGTTACGTACATACAAAATAAAAGTTATTATTGCTTAGTAGAAAATTTAGGTTTATATCTATAAGTAATGCCACCTTTATCCCCATTAATTTTATTTGCTGTAAAGTTTGCTCTAACATTATCTATCCAGCTTGCTTTTGATTAGGGTTAGCATGGTATATCTTTCTTCATCTCTTCAGTTTTAATCTATATGTGTCTTTATATTTAATGTGAGTTTTTATAGACAACAAGTAGTTGAGTCTTGTTTTTTGATCCGCTTTGAAAATTTTTGTTTTAATTGTTATATTTAGGGTATTAGAATTGAAAGTAATTATTGATATAGTTGGATTAATACATATCATATAGGTTAATGTTCTCTATGTGTTGCCCTTGTCATTTATGATGATGTTTGTTTTCTCTTTTTCTCTCTTTTTTGGTTTTAATTGAACTTTTTATACGTTTCCATATGCCCTCCTCTTTTAGAATATAAATTATTGGTGTTTTTTTCCTCCTTTTAGTGGTTGCTCCAGAGTTTGCAGTATATATTTGCAGCTAATAAAAGTCTGCTTTTAAATGACCCTATACCACTTCACCACGAGTGCAAGAGGCTTATAAATAACAAAATATTTCTATTTATCGTTCCCTCCTCATTGTATTATTTCTATCACTCATTTCACTTGTAGATAAGCTGTAATTATCAAATATGTTACTGCTATCATTAGTTTGACCTGTTTTCTGTTAAATCAATTAAGAATAAGAAAAATAAGAATTGGTATTTTAAGTTCACTTATTTCGTCTCTAATGTCCTTACTTTCTTTATGTAGATCTAGAGTTTCTTACCTGCATTATTTTTATTCTCTTTGAGGAACTTCTTTTAACATTTCTTGTAAGTGAGATCTACTGCCAAAAAACTGAGGAAGTCTTTATTGTTGCTTCACATTTAAAGGGTAATTTCACAGGATATGACATTCTAGGTTGGGGATTGTTTTCCCCTCAACACTAATTATTTTACTAATTCCACTCTGATTTGTATAGTTTCTTAGGAAATGTTAGATGTAATTTTTATCATATTCCCTCATACTCTGTAAGTAAGTTCCCCACCATCCGGCTTCTTTTTGTTGTTGCTTTTGTTTTGTGAGTATACAGTGTGTATATATATTTATAGCTTATTTGAGATATTTTGATAGAGGCATGGAGTGCATAATAATCACATCAGGATAAATGGAGTATCCATCACCTCAAGTATTTATCCCTTTTGTTACAATCAAATTACACTCTTTTAGCTATTTTATTTTATTTCACTTTTATGTTCTTATTTTTTATTTTTTGGAGGGAATCCATTACCTGAAGCATTTATCCTTTGTATCACAAATAATCCAATTACAGCATTTCAGTTATTTTAAGGTGTACAATTGTATCATTTTTGAATATAGTCATCCTGTGTGCTAGCAAATACTAGGTCTCATTCATCCTTTCTTACTATATTTTATAACCATTAAACATTTCTACTTTTCCACCATCATCCCACTACTCTTCCCGGCCTCTGTGTTCCATCATTCTAGTTCCTATCAATATGAATTTAATTATTTTAATCTTTAGCTCCAAATAAGTGAGAATATGAAAAGTTTGTCTTTCTGTGTCTGACTTATTTCACTTAACATGACCATCAATTCCATCCATGTTGTAGCAAGTGACAGAATTTCACTCTTTTCATGACTGAATAGTACTCCATTGTGTACATGCACCACATTTTCTTTATGCATTCATCTGTTGATGGACACTTAGGTCGCTTTCAAATCTTGGTTATTGTGAAGAGCACTGCAATAAACATGGGAGTGCACATATCTCTTCAATATACTAATTTCCTTTCTTTTGGGTACATACCTAGCAGTGAGATATCTGGATCTCAGTAACTCTATTTTTTATTATTTTGAAGAACCTCCAAACTGTTTCCCAGGTTGGTTGTAATAATTAACATTCCCAGCAACAGTGTATGAGGCTTCCCTTTTCTTCACATCCTTGCCAGCATCCTTTTCTTCACATTCTTGCCTATCTTTTGGATAAAAGCCATTTTAACTGGAGTGAGATGATATCTCATTGTAGTTTGGAGTTGCATTTTTCTGATGATGAATGATGTTGAGAACGTTTTCATATGCCTTTTTGCCATTTATGTGTCTTCATTTGAGAAATGTCTTTTCAGATCTTTTGCCCATTTTTTAAATTGGATTATTACATTTTTTTCTATAAAGTTGTTTCAGCTTCTTAGATATTCTGGTTATTAATCCCTTGTCAGATAGGTAGTTTGCAAATATTTTCTCCCATTCTTTGGGCGGTCTCTTCATTTGTTGATAGTTTCCTTTTCTGTGTAGAAGCTTTGTAACTTGATGTGATCCGATTTGTCCATTTTTGTTTTGGTTGCCTTTGCTTGTGGCAAGGATTCTTTGCCAAGTCCAATGTCCTGGAGAGTTTCCACAATGCTTCTTTTAGTAGTTTCATAGTTTCAGGTCTTAGATTTAAGTGTTTAATACATTTGACTTGACATTTGTATGTGGTGAGAGATAGGAGTCTAGTTTCATTCTTCTGCATATGAATGTGTACTTTTCCCAGCACCATTTATAGAAGAGACTGTCCTTTCCCCAATGTATGTTCTTGGCACCTTTGTTTAATATGAGTTAACTGTAGATGTGTGGAGTTATCTATGGGTTCCCTATTCTATTCCACTGATGTATGTGTCTCTCATCATCAAATACCATGCTTCTTTGGGTACTATAGCCTGTAGTATAATTTCAAGTCAGGTAATGTGATTTCTTTAGTTTTATATTTTTTGCTTAGAATAGTTTTGGTTACTCTGGGTATTCTCTGGTTTCACATACATTTTAGGATGGATTTCTGCTATTATTGTGAAGAATGTCATTCGTGTTTTCACAGGGATTGCATTAAATCTGTAGATTGCTTTGGATAGTATAAACATTTTTAACAATATCGAATCCTCTGACCTATGAACGTAGAATATCTTTCCATTTTTGTGTGTCTTCTTCAATTTATTTTATCGAGGTTTTATAATTTTCAGTGTAGAGGATTTTCACTTTTGTTATTTCCTGTGTATTTAATTTAACTGGTAGCTATTGTAAATGGAGTTACTTTTCTGATTTCTTTTTCATATTGTTCATTGTTGGCATATAGAATGCTTTTTCTTTGTTGATTTTGTATCCTGAAACTTTACTGTTTATCAGTTTTAATAGTTTTATAGTGGGGTCATTAGTTTTTTTAATTTAAAATCATATCATCTACAAATAAAGATAATGTGATTTCTTCCTTTCCAATTTGGTTGCTCGTCATTTTTTCTCTTGTATGACTGCTCCAGCTATGATTTGCAGAACTGTGTTGAAAAACAGTGGAGAAAGTAGGCATCCTAGTTGTGTTCCTGATCATAGAGAAAAGGCTTTCACTTTTTTCCTATTTCATCTGATACTAGCTATGGGTCTCTATTATATGGCTTTCATTCTGTTGAGGTACATCCCTTCTATACTGTGTTTATTGAAGGTTTTTAATCATGAAGGGATGTTAATTTTTGTAAGTGATTTTTCAGTATTAATTGAAATGATCATATGGTTTTTGTCTTATATTTTGTTTATATGATGTATCACATTAACTGATTCACATATGTTGAACAATCCTTGCATCCCTGGGATAAATCCCACTTGGTCATGAGAAACGATCTTTTTAATGGGTTGTAAAGTTCGGTTTGCTAGTATTCTATTGAGGAATTTTGCTCAATATTCACCAGTGATATTGTCCTATAGTGTTGTTTCTCAGATGTGTCTTAGTCTGATTTTGGTATCAGGGTAATACTGGCTTTATAGAATGAGTTTGGAAATATTCCCTACTCCTCCAATTTTTTTTTTGAAATAGTTTAAGGAGGTTCTTTAAGTGTTTGTTAGAATTTAGCAGTGAAGCCATCAAATCCTGGGTAGAAGATTTTCTATTATGGCTTTGATCTGACTACTTTTTTATTGGTCTGTTCAGGTTTTGTATTTCTTCATGATTCAAATTTGGTAGATTGTATGTGTCTAGGAATTTATCTATTTCTTCTAGATTTTCCAATTTATTGGCATATAGTTGTTCATACTAGCCACTAATGATCCTTTGAATTTTGGTGGTATCTGCTGTAATGTCTCCTTTTTCATCCTAATTTTACTTATTTGGGTCTTTCCTTTTCTTAGTCTGGGTAAAGGTTTGTCAATTTTCTTTATCTTTTCAAAAAGTCAACTTTTTGTTTTATTGTTCTTTTGTATTTTTTTCTTTAATAAAATTAATTGATTTCTTCTGCAACATTCATTATTTCTATTTTTCTACTAATTTTGAATTTAGTTTGCTCTTGACTTCCAGTTTTTTATAATACATTACTAGGTTGATTATTTGAAGTTTTTCTTCTTTTATAATGTAGGAATTTGTAGCTATAAACTTTACTCTTAGTACTGCTTTTACTATATCCCATAAGCCTTGGTGTTGTGTTTCTATTAGTTGTTTCAAGAAATTTTTGAATTTCCTTTGTAATTTTTTATTGAATTACTGCTTATTCAGGAACATATTGGTTAATTTCCACATGTTTGTATGGTTTCAGAAATTCCTCTTGTTATCAATTTCTAGTTTTATTCCATTGGGATCAGAGAAGATGCTTGATATATTTCAAATTTTTGAATATTTTAAGACTTTTTTTGTGACCTAATGTATGGTCCATACTTGTGAAGAAGACCTTTTTGTGTTGCATCTATTTGAGGATTTCAGAGCGTCCTATATCTATATGTCTAAGCCACTTGTTAGATTTGGGAAGATTCCAGCTACTATTTTGTTACATGGGTTTTCTATGCATTTGACCTTCTTTTTGTTTTCTGGAATACAAAAAAAAAAATTAAATATTCAGTCATTCTATGGTGTTTTATATGTCAGAGAGGTTTGGATTATTCTTTATTAATTTTTCTTTTTCTTTATTTTTTTTTCTGATTGGGTTGTTTTAGAATACCCATCTTTTAGTTTTCTAATTATTTCTTCTGCTTTTTTGAGTATTTTGTTGGAGCTCTCAAATGTATTTTTTTTTCCTATTGAGTTTATTAGGTCCATGATTTTTAAAATACTATCTATTTCCTTGGTGAATTTATCATTGATATTCTGAATTGTTTTTCTGATTTCTTTGTATTGTTTACCTGTGTTCTCTTTATCTCACTAAGTTCTTTAATGTCATATTTTTGAATTCATTTTCTGTCACTTCATAATTTTTATTGGAATCTATTTCTGGAGAATTATTGTGTTTTTTGGAGGAGTCATATTTCAATGCTTTTTCATGTTTCTTGTTTCCTTACATTAATATCTGTTCATCTAATGTAATAATCATTTCTTCTAAGTTTTTAGATTGACTTTTGTGAACGACTTTTTCCTGAAAATACACCTATGGCGAAGGTTGGGTAGAATACTTTAGCTTTGATTCTACATGCATGGAATAGTGCAGCCTCCATATAATTTATCCTGCTATAAGCAGTGTCAGTGGCATCTGTGATTTCTTCATTGGCTTGGTTTGTTTGTTAGTGGAGGCTGTGGCAAGACTTTGCTGGGAATGGGGGCAGCAGGTGAGCCAATCCGGTGATGGCAGTGGTGGGCTAAGTGTGTCTGTCCTTAGGCCCCAGTGCTGTCTGCAGGGGCATTGGTGTTAGTGGGTTTAGGTGGGCCGATTCCTAGGCCTCTAGGCACATTTCTCAGGTGCTGGCAGTTGCAGTAGTGGGCCAAGCAGGTGGGCAGGACCTCAGGCCCGTGGGCAATGTCCTTAACATGAACAATGGTAGTAGCAGTGTCGGGATAACGGTTGGGCTCTCAGGTGGCACACACTAATGTTAACGGTGGTTTTGATTAGCTGTTTTGGCCAATCTCCAGGCCCCCAGTTGGAGTGTGTAGGTGTGTGACAGTGTTGGTAGCAGGAGGCTGAATGGACTTCTCCTCATTTTCCTGAGAGGAGTGCATAGATGGTGTTGGACTGGGATGGTGATCCCTAGACCTCTGTCAGTATATTCAGGCACTGGGGATGGTGTTGGTAGGCCAGGCAGGTTTGTCCTCAGGACCCCTGGCGGTGCACATGAGCACAGGCTGTGATGAGCAGGGTGGGGCAACCCATAGTAGTGGGTGGAAACAGGCTGACCTCAGTGCAATCTAAGTGCATAGCAGCCATGCTGCTGGAGGGAATGGGGTTGCTGTCAATGAGGGCAGCCCCAGGCAGGCAAGCAGCTTTCAGGCTCTGAGGAGCATGTACTTCAGCCCTAGAGACAGTGGAGGCAGTGGCAGTGTGTGGGGAGAGCCTGTCTTCAGTGCATGCGTTAGTGTACAGCAGCTGCGCTACTGGTAGAAGAGAGGCTGCTATCAGTGGGAGTGGCCCCAGATAGGTGGGTGGCTTTCAGGCTCTGAAGAGCACATACTTTGGCCCTTGACAGCAGCAGTGGCCATGGCAGTGTGTGTGGACACTGTCCTTAGGAAACTTGCTAGTGTGCAGTCACCTAGATGCTTATGGGGTTGGGGTTGCTCTTAGCAGCCTCAGGCAGGCAAATCTCAGGCTCTGGAGACCACATGCTTTGGCTTCCTTTGTCGTAGGGACAGTCTCCCCAGGGCACTGTACTGCCTTTTTCCCAGGGTGCAGGACTCTGTGTGGGCTAGAGTGCTGGGGACCCTTCTGCACTGTAGGGTCCAGCCAGAATTGTGCCTCTGCAGTCCTCCAGGTGTATGTGGGGGAATGTCTGTGGGGTTCTGAAGATGTGGAGATGCTGGTTCTGCTGGGCCTGAAGGCAAACTATAATCAGGTAGGGACTAGATTCTCAAAATGGGACAGGCATGTAGCTGCTTAAATCTCAAGCGGTGTGTGGGACCAGGTGTAAGTTCCCCATCTGGAGCACTACCATCACATGGACTCCAGGCAGCTCCTTACTTTAGGCTCGGGCCTGTAAGGGTCAAGGGACTCTCCAATGGTTAGGGGTTTAGGAATCCACAGTGGAAATATGAACCACTGGGAATCTCTCACTTACTCCTTCCCTGAACTGGAGAGCATCTCCAGGCTCCTGGACAATTCTGGCTGAGCTGTCTGTTTTACTTCCCTCTTCCATCCCTCAGGTGTTTACTGTCACATCTCTGCTGAATTTTAGTGCTCTTTCTTAGATGCTCTATTTAAATTAGGACTATCTTTTCACAATTTTTGTTATTTGTGGAGGAGGTGAGTATCTGATTTCTCTAGTCAGCTATCTTGAACCCTCCCCACAAGCCATATTTTGACATGAAGTAAATGTGTAGTTAAAAATAAAGTCTACATTTATGTTATATTATCAAATTGTATTGACTGTGTACCTATAATGCGTGGATATGTGTTCTTGAGAAAAATTGTAATATCAAGTGTCTGATGATAGTATCATGTCATAAGAGAAAATACTTTTTAAAAATGATTACCTTGTCATTGAGTTAAATAAGAGGCAGAAATTTTCTCAATTGAACTCCATATGCTTAAATCAGAATTTGAATGTGCTTGAGTATACATTCCTTATCTAGAACACTACAGTGCATTTTCTTATTTCCTCAAATCCATTGCCTTGCCTACATGGTTATGAGTACCTGTTTGAGGGATTTGTATTCTTGGGAGTGGGTAATATTTATGATTACTTAATCACTTTATATAAATATATAAACTTAGGAAGGGAGAGATTCAGTCAGGTGAATCAAGAGTCATGAAGACTAATGGTATGATCGGTTTTATTCCTATTCCTCCTAGTGCTATAATATATGTTCTGTCTACCTGACTTACAAGCTACTGGAGCAGAGCTGGAGTTTGCAATAGGTATAACTGTAATTAAATAGTCAGTCTCAAAGCAACCTGTCAGTAGTTTCAGGATGGAGGGGAATGTTTTGTTGTTGTGGTCACTATCTCTATAAGGTACACCAATTTTATTTTGAATGAAATACTTGAGACAAAGGACCACTGAGAATGATTAATAGCTTGAGAAGAAAATTTTCCTTCTTTGAGTGACCCTGAGTGCTATTATCCTTTCTCAGATCAGCAACAACCCCGCATTGTTTTCACTGAGTACGGGGATGTGACCCACATCAAATGTAATCATGATGATGGCTGATTTTCTCCTGAATAAGTGACAGTAATACTAAATCAGTCATTTTTTCTGACTCATGAACATACAAACAATTTGGGTTTTATTTCCATTTCCTCTGTCTGAAAATGTCAGGCATCAAAATCAGCTTTTATGCTTTAGACCTACATCCGCTCATTGATCATATTTATCTGAAAAATAATGAGCACCGTGTATCTTTATTTATTCCAGTTATTCACTCTGAACAGTTTCCAAGCTGACTTAGAGATATTGAAGTGAAGCTATGAGAAGTTAAATAATTAAAGTGAGAATTTAGACTTTTTTATTTTTCTTGCTCCTTCTCTCAATAAACACACATTTTTCAATCACTTCTCCCTTCAGGAGGTTATTAATTTCAGGTTCTCCAAATAGTGTGAAGTAGGGATTCAAATTCACGCTTTTGCATGTAGATATCTAGTGGTACCTAAACAATGTGCTCTTTTCCCATGGAATTATTTTGGTGTAGTTGTCAAAAATTGATCATAAATGTAAGAGTTTGTTTCTATACCCTAATTTCTAATTATTGATATATATTTATACCTTCATGCTAGTATTACAAATAAGTGATGACTATAGTTTTATAGTTGACTGTGACTTTTCAATTTGTTTTTTCTTTTTCAAGATTGTTTTGGCTGTTATGAGTGTCTTGAATTTTCATATAAATTTTAGGAGCATCTGACAATTTCTGCAAAAAAAAGCAAGATGTGATTTTGATTGGATTTGTATTTAATCTATAGACCAACTTGGGCAATATTATGGTAACGATATTGTTTTCTGTTCTATAAACATAGCATGACTTTTACTTCTTTTATACTTTTCAGTACTAAAGTGTTGTGCTTCTTTCACTAAGTTTTTAGTTGGACATAGAGAGTAGAAGTATGGTTATCAGAAGAATTTTATTCTTTTGATGCTGTTGTAAAGTAAGTCATTTCCTTAATTTTATTTTCTAATTACTCAATCAAAATATTTCTAATTACTCAATGAAAACAGAAATACAATTGATATTTGTATATTGATCCTGTGTTCTGACAAAGATTGTGAACTTGCTTATTATTTCTAATAGATATTTAGTATATTCCTTGGGATCTTCTCTACGTAAGATGCTATTATTTGAAAATAAAATTGTTTTAAGTCTTCATTTTCAACCTAAATGGTATTTACTTATTTATTATTTACTTATTTCCCAAACTGGCCTTGCTAGAACCTAAAATCCAATGTTGAATAAAAGTCACAAATATGGACACATTTATGTTTCTTCTTCTGGATATGAGGTATCATCTGTTATTATTTATATCCTTAATACAATCCATCTTTGTTCCTACCTTTCTTCTTGTATTAATATTGTTACATAAATTATATTTCCACGTATTATAGGTTCAATAAGTAAATTATATATTGTTTTATGTAGTTGCTCTTCAAATAAGAGAAGAAAGAAGATTATACAACTATACCATTTTCTCTAATTAATTACATAATTATTTTTTACCAGTGCCTTTTGTATGAAGATTCAAATTACTCTATAATTATCAGTTCTTCACCCTAAATAACTTTCTTTACTATTTCTCATAAGATAGGTGTGCTAGAAATGAATTATGTCAATTTTTCCATGACAGATAAAGGCCTTATTTTGCCAAAACATTCCTGATTGATTGGTTGACAGTTTTTGTTTTGTTTAGTTTTGTTTTACTTTTAGCACATTGAATATATTGTCACAATGCCTCTAGCTTCTATTATTTCTGATGGAAAGTCAGATACTGTTCTTATATTCTACATGATGTATTATTTTTCTCTTGTTGACTTCAATAATTTCTCTTTGTCTTTGAATATTTTTATAATGAGTTTTCTGAGTGTGGATGTTCTCGTATTTATCCTACCTGGAATTTGTTGAGATTTGTAAATGTCTAAATTAATATTTTTCATGCAATTTTGAAATGTTTCAGTCATTATTTTCTCAAACATTTTTCTGTCTCTTGTTCCCTCTTCTCTTCTTCTAGTACATTCATTATGTATATATTAGTATGCTTAATGCCCCACCATATTTCTCTGACACTGCCATTTTTCATCATTTTTCCTCTCTGTTTTTCAGAATACTGATCTCTAACAATCTATCTTCAAGTTCACTGATTGATTCTCATGACAGCGCAAATCTATTAAACTTTCTAGTTCTTTTTTTTTCATTTTGGTTGTTATATTTTTCACCTTTAATATTTCAACTAAATCCTTTTTAATTATTTCCATTTTTGATATATTCTATCTGGTGAAATACTATCAACATACATTCCTTCAAAATTTTAACTTTTTTTTTTCTTTAGCTTTGTGGGCATAGTTATAATAGCTTCTTTGAAAATATTTTCTGATAAGTTGCCACGTTTCTATCCCTCAAAGTCTATTTCTTTTGCATGGCTTTTTGCCTATGTATCAGTCTCATTTTCCTGTTTATTGAAACATTTTTTTGGTTGAAATAAGGACATTTTAGAGAACACAGTTTATCTAGAATTGTTACAACTGATTATCTAAAATGTCTAATTTGTAATAAAAATTGGAATTTCAAAGCAACAGGAAAGGTAACGGGATTACTGTAATATTTTTGTATGTTTTTGTTTTGTTGTTTGTTTAATGACTTGGCTTAGTTAATTCTGAAAAATATATTTTCTTCACAGTAAGAAGAATCTGATGTTCCTACTAATATTTTCTCCATTTTTATATTTTAGCATGGTTACCTAGTGTTACCACTAGGTCAGCTTATACCACTTATTAGTAAAAGGTTGTGCTCTTAGCCTGCTAGATTTTTAATTTTTGCCTTTAGCTGTGTGTGTGTGTGTGTGTGTGTGTGTGTGCATGCGCATGTGCATGTGGCTTAAAAGTCTCTATCACAATTCATGAAGATTATGTTACGTATGTTTACCTCATATTCATTCAGAGACTAGTAGCTTGAGGTTTCCTTCTCTGATAGCTCCTGAGTAGATATTTTCTTTGCCAGGATTACCATGATATTGCTTTTAAGTCTGGCATCCAAAGAGTCTTTCATGGGTCAAAGTAGGTTTTGGTTTAGTGTTTTGACAGAGATTGTTTTAAAGCCTGTCATGTCAATGTGGATTCTATCATGGGTTTTTTGAGTATGTGTGTAGCTTGGGGAATAATTTCAATTCTGCACCACAACTTGCTTTGGCTGCTGCTCAGTAGGTGCTCAGGGTCAACACTCAGAATTGACCCTGATATGAGGAGGGCTCTTTTGGGGTGTCTTTTTTCCTGGTTCTCTTCACTGAATCTCTGACTGCTTTGACATTTTGCCTTCTCAAGAAGCTATCACCCTCCTTTTAAATGTTCTTTACCAAGACTTTTATTGTTTACTACCATGTCCCTAAGCATATAGTTCTCCACCCTCTGTTTCAAATAAAATTAGTCTCCTCAGGCATAGATGCTGTGCTATTATCCCTTACATCCTTCCTTTCCCCCTCAGCAGAACCCCTGCAACAACTGTCTTAAAGTTGGGATGGGGGTCTGCTTTACCTGGGGTCGTATCCACAGTGTACAAATGAGCACTCTGTGGGAGGATTTCCCCTGGTCTTTTAGGTTGTCCCTCCTGTTGTGGAACCTCCACCCTACTAACAGTGTTAGGAGCAGTTGTGTATACCTCTCTAAGTCTAATTCTATTCCAAATAATGATTTAAAATGTATAATATGAAGCATTTTCAATTTTTGAAATTGGACTAAACTTTAAGGCAAGTGTAACCGGTACCTTTACTCTAATGGAGGCTTCTCAACTAATTTGAAAACATTGCCCTGCATACTGTGGTCCAGTGCTATCAGCCTAACAGAAGATTTCCTTTTTTTCTGTATTTCTTCTAAAACAACAACAACAACAAAACACAAAAAGGATACATGTGCAGAACGTGGAGGGTTGTTACATATGTATGTGTTTGCCATGGTGGTTTGCTGCATCTATAGACCCATCCTCCTCGTTCCCGCTCCTCACTCCCCCAGCAGAAGATATCTACTTTCCAGTGAGGAATAAGAAATTTAAAAATGAGATGGGTTAAGATGCAAACTTTTTATGTTATCAATCAAAATGTGTATATTTTCATTTTCATATTTTGTGCTTATAAAAAGGTGATTTTATTATTTCTCAAAAAGATAAAAATAATGTTTATAAAATCAGTAGTTCATCATTACCAATATGGTCCTAAAATTGAAAAAAAAAATTAAAAAGTCTTTTAAGTGTCTTTAGTACACTGTGAAACACCAAAGAGATTTTCAGATAGGTTCACAAACAACTAAAAATTCTGTATCAATCTGCATATCAAAGAATTAAAACAAATTTTGTTAGTTGAAAACCAAGTACAGAAAGAGAATGTTTCTGTGTGTTCTTACTCAATCTGCAGATATGACTCACTAAAATATAAAATATATAATTATGTTGACTAAAATTATGAATATCATAAATTATTTCTTGCAAAAAAGTGAGGAATAAATAAATAAGAAAGCCATGTGCAATTGATGTCTGTAGCTTAGTCCTGATACAACTGTTTAAGTAGAGACTTCACATTTTTGCTGTAAAAGTAAATATATTTTTTCTTACACCTGCCCTGCTATGGTGTTGGTTAGAATTAGCAGGAGTTTTTGAAGTGTGATGCAGAGCATTAACTTGATTTGGCAAGTTTGCATGTGAATAAGTATTTAGGAAGACCTGACAATTGGAGAGAAGTGCGAAAGACAAATTGTTCACAGAATTGAAGAAACCAGGCATAGATACTCTTTTAATAAAAAGATAAACATTTGGAGAAATGTTATGGCTTTAGTTAACAGTTTGCTAATGTTGAGGTTTAAATTTCTAGAACCGCTCTTGGGCAATAAGTATCTCATTAATACAAAGTACAAAGTGTCAAACTCATATTGCTTTTATAATAGTGGTGGAATGGATCAAGAACACAGAGTAGATAGTTTGCAATGTGCTAAAAAAAGAAACCGAAGCCTACGTCTTAAGTTATGGCAAGGCAATCAAATGTTTGATGGTGCTTTTCTTTATACTGAGGCAAGAAAACTGGGTAAAGTCTTTCATTGGCCTGCTATAAAATGACATTTCAGCTAGCAGTTTGTTCAGTGTAGGCACAATTATATCCTCTCTCCATTATTAGTAACCTTAGGGAGTGTTTAAAGGATAAGTGTCTCTCATTCCTTTCAAGTAGAAAGAAAAAAAATAGAGCCAGTTCGTGTGCTTTCTTGAGAAAAGCCTAAGAGTAAATGCATTCAGGAAAACACAACTCATTACAGAAATGTTCCAAGCTAATGTCACTATCTTGATGAAATAATGAAAAGTAGAGAATAAACTCAGATGACCATTTAATGGCCCACATCTAAGGTAAGTAAAAGATCATATTCTAGTTGTCTGGATCTTTTTTTGGAGATGGAGTCTCACTCTGTCGCCCAGGCTGGAGTACAGTGGTGCAGTGTTGGCTCACTACAACCTCTGCCTCCCGGGTTCAAACAATTCTCCTGCCTCAGCCTCCTGAGTAGCTGGGACTACAGGCATATGTCGCCATGCCTGGCTAATGTTTTATATTTTAGTAGAGACAGGGTTTCACCATGTTGCCCAGGCTGGTCTTGAACTCCTCAGCTCAGGTAATTCACCTGCCTCAGCCTCCCAAAGTGCTAGGATTACAGGCGTGAGCCACCACTCCCAGTCTGTCTGGATCTTTTTTCTTCTCTAAACATACCACTTGTTTCCCAATTCCAAACCTTTATGCCATTTTTTATACCTGACTTAAAAACTTTTCTGGGTGGCTTGCAAGATGGCTGAATAGGAACAGCTTCGGTCTGCAGCTCCCAGCAAGATCAATGCAGAAGGCAGGTGATTTCCACATTTCCAACTGAGGTACCTGGCTCATCTGATTGGGACTGGTTAAAAGTGGGTGCAGCCCATGGAGGACGAGCCAAAGCAGGGTGGGGCATCGCCTCACCCAGGAAGCACAAGGGGTCAGGGGACTCCATCCTCTAGTCAAGGAAAGCTGTGAGGGACTGTGCCATGAGGAACAGTGCACTCCAGCCCAGATACTACGCTTTTCCCATGGTCTTTGCAAGCCACAGACCAGGAGATTCCCTCGGGTGCCTATGCCACCAGGGCCCTGGGTTTCAAGCACAAAACTGGGTGACCATTTAGGCAGACACCGAGCTAGCTGCAGGAGTATTTTTTCTTACTCCAGTGGCACCTGGAATGCCTGCAAGACAGAATCATTCACTCCCTTTGAAAGGGGGCTGAAGCCAAGAAAACAAGTGGTCTAGCTCAGTGGATCCCACCCCCTAGAGCCCAGAAAGCTAAGATCCACTGGCTTGAAGTTCTTGCTGCCAGCACAGCAGTCTGAAGTCAACCTGGGATACTTGAGCTTGGAGGGGGAAGGGGCGTCTGCCATTACTGAGGCTTGAGTAGGTGGTTTACCTCTCACAGTCGAAACAAAGCCACCAGGAAGTTTGAACTAGGTGGAGGCCTCACAGCTCAGCAACGCTGCTGTAGCCAGACTGCCTCTCTAGGTTCCTCCTGTCTGGGCAGAGCATCTCTGAAAGAAAGGTAGCAGCCCCAATCAGGGGCTTATAGATAAAACTCCCATCTTTCTGGGACAGAGCACCTGGGGTAAGGGGCGGCTGTGGGCACAATTTCAGCACACTTAAATGTTCCTGCCTGCTGACTCTGAAGAGAGCAGTGGATCTCACAGCACAGTGCTCAAACTCTGCTAAGGGACAGAGTGCCTCCTAAAGTGGGTCGCTGACCACTGTGCCTCCTGACTGGAAGAACACCTCCCAGCAGGGATCAACAGACATCTCATACAGGAGAGCTCTGGCTGGCGTCTGGCAGGTGCCATTCTGGGATGAAGCTTCCAGAGGAAGGAACAGGCAGCAATCTTTGCTCTTCTGCAGCCTCCACTAGTGATACCCAGGGAAATAGGGTCTGGAGTGGACCTCCAGCAAACTCCAGCAGACCTGCAGCAGAGGGGCCTGACTGTTAGAAGGAAAACTAACAAACAGAAAGGAATAGCATCGACATCAACACAAAGGACTTCCACACAGAAACCACATCAGAAGGTCACCACATCAAAGACTAAAGGTAGGTAAATCCATGAAGATGAGGAAAAACCTGCACAAAAAGGCTGAAAATTCCAAAAACAGGAACACCTCTTCTCCTCCAAAGGATCACAACTCCTCTCCAGCAAGGGAACAAAACTGGACAGAGAATGAGTTCGACAAATTGACAGAAGTAGGTTTCAGAAGGTGGGTAATAAACTTCTCTGAGCTAAAGGAGCATGTTCTAACCCAATACAAAGAAGCAAAGAACCTTGGAAAAAGGTTAGAGGAATAGCTATCTAGAATAACCAGTATAGAGAAGAACATAAATGACCTGATGGAGCTGAAAAACACAGCATGAGAACTTCGTGAAGGATACACAAGTATCAATAGCCAAATCAACCAAGCAGAAGAAACGATATGAGAGACTGAAGATCAACTCAATGAAATAAAGCATGAAGACAAGATTAGACAAAAAGAATGAAAAGGAACGAACAAAGCCTCCAAGAAACATGGGACTGTGTGAAAAGACCAAACCTATGTTTGATTGGTGTACCTGAAAGTGACAGGGAGAATGGAACCAAGTTGGAAAACACTCTTTAGGATATTATCCAGGAGAATTCCCCAACCTAGCAAGACAGGCCAACATTCCAATTCAGGAAATACAGAGAACACCACAAAGATACTCCTCGAGAAAAGCAACTCCAAGACACATAATCATCAGATTCACCAAGGCTGAAATGAAGGAAAAAATGTTAAGGGCAGCCAGAGAGAAAGGTCAGGTTACCCACAAAGGGAAGCCCATCAGGCTAACAGTGGAACTCTCTGAAGAAAGCCTACAAGGCAGAAGAGAGTGGGGGCCAATATTCAACATTCTTAAAGAAAGAGTTTTCAACCCAGAATTTCATTTCCAGCCAAACTAAGCTTAATAAGTGAAGGAGAAATAAAACCTTTTACAGACAAGCAAAGGCTGAGAGATTTTGTCACCATCAGGCCTGCCTTGAAAGAGCTCCTGAAAGAAGCACTAAATATGAAAAGGAAAAACTGGTACCAGCCACTGCAAAAACATACCAAATTGTAAAGACCATTGACACTATGAAGAAACTGTATCAACTAATGGGCAAAATAACCAGCTAGCATCATAATGACAGGATCAAATTCACACATAACAATATTAACCTTAAATATAAAAGGGATAAATGCCCCAATTAAAAGACACAGACTGGCAAAGTGGATAAAGAGTCAAGACCCATAGGTGTGCTGTATTCAGGAGACCCATTTCATGTGCAAAGACACACATAGGTACAACATAAAGGGATGGAGTGATATTTACCAAGCAAATGGAAAGCAAAAAAAAAAAAAAACAAAAAAAAAAACAGGGGTTGCAATCCTAGTCCCTGATCAAACAGGCTTTAAGTCAATGAAGATCCAAACAGAAAAAGAAGGGCGTTACATAATGGTAAAGGGATCAATGCAACAAGAAGAGCTAACTATCCTATATATGCACCCAATACAGGAGCACCCAGATTCATAAAGCAAGTTCTTAGAGGCCTACAAAGAGACTTAGACTCCCACACAATAATAGTGGGAGACTTTAACACCCCACTGTCAATATTAGACAGATCAATGAGACAGAAAATTAACAAGCATATTCAGGACTTGAAATCAGCTCTGGACCAAGCAGACCTAATAGAGATCTACAGAACTCTTCACCCAAAATCAACAGAATATACATCCTTCTCAGCACAACATCACATTTATTCTAAAATTGACCAATAATTGGAAGTAAAACACTCCTCAGCAAAGGCAAAAGAACGGAAATCATAGCAAACAGTCTCTCAGACCACAGTGCAATCAAATTAGAACTCAGGATTAAGAAACTCACTCAAAACCACACAGCTACATGGAAACTGAACAACCTGCTCCTGAATGACTACTGGGTAAATGACAAAATTAAGGCAGAAATAAATAAGTTCTTTGAAACCAATGAGAACTAAGACACAATGTACCAGAATCTCTGGGACACAGCTAAAGCAGTGTGTAGAGGGAAATTTATAGCACTAAATGGCCACAGGAGAAAGCAGGAAAAATCTAAAATCAACACCCTAACATCACAATTAAAAGAACTAGAGAAGCAAGAGCAAACAAATTCAAAAGCTGGTAGAAGAGAAGAAATAACTAAAATCAGAGCAGAACTGAAGGACATAGAGACACAAAAAATATTTTTAAAAAATCAATGAATCCAGAAGCTGTTTTTTTGGAAAGATTAACAAAATAGATAGACTGCTAGCCAGATTAATAAAGAAGAAAAGAGAGAAGAATCAAATAGACACAATAAAACATGATAAAGGGGATATCACCACTGATCCCACAGAAATACAAATGACCATCAGAGAATGCTATAAACACCTCTATGCAAATAAAACTAGAGAATCTAGAAGAAATGGATAAATTCCTGAACACGTACACACTCCCAAGGCTAAACCAGAAAAAGTTGAATCCCTGAATAGACCAATGACAAGTTCTGAAATTGAGGCAGTAATTAATAGCCTACCAACCAAATAAAGCCCAGGACCAGATGGATGCACAGCTAAATTCTACCAGAGGTACAAAGAGGAGCTGGTGCCATCCCTTCTGAAACCATTCCAAACAATAGAAA